>NT_167245.2:2414228-2600672 GCF_000001405.40 Homo sapiens | reverse complement strand
GGCCAGACATAGGACAGAATGGTTCTGCATCTGGGGAACACCACTGAAGTAAAATCAGAAAAATCTCTGGCCTTTTGTAGCATATGTTCCAGTGGGAAGAGGCAGACGATAGATACACTATAACCAGAGTAAGGAAGGAAAGTGCTAGAAGGTGGTAAGTGCTGTGAGGCAGGTGATCCAGGATGTGGGCAGTGGGGACAGGGAAGGTGGCTGTTGTGCTGGGTAGTCAGTGTGTGCCTTGTTGCAAAGGTGACTTTTGAGGAAAGATTTGAGGGACATGAGGATATCTGGGGAAGTTCTTTCCAGGCAGAGGAAGCTCCAGTCCAAATGCACTATGGCAGGAAGGTCTGTGTTCCCAGAAGAGCAAGGAGGCCAGGAGGGCTGGACAGAGAGAAACTGAGGTGAGGTCAGAGGTGCGGCCAGAACAGGTGGGCTTGAGGGGAGTGGGGTTGCATCTGACCTTTGCTCTGAGTGGGATGGGGAGTTAGAGGACAGTTTTGAGCAGAAGAGGGCCATGATATAACTTCTGTTTTAAAAGGATCTCTCTGACTGCTGTGCTGAGAACAGAATTGAGAGGTGAGGGATGAGGGAAGCAGAAGGGAAAACAGTAGGAATCAAGTGCAGTATTCCAGGCTGGAGATGTCGGTTACCTTGACTGGGGCGTGAGCAGGGGAAATAGTGGGACGTGAGGGGATTCTGGATGCATTTGAAGATGGACTCACAGCATTTGCCAATGGATTGTATCTGTGGTGTGAGAAAGACGAATCAAGGACACCCATAGTTGTAAGATGAGTGAGTAGAAGGGTGGAGCTGCTGTCAGTGGAGATGGGGAGACTCTGGCAGGAGCGTCCTGAGGAGGGGGCATCACAGGCATTCAGTGGAGGAGATGTCTACCGGGAAGGCAAGTGGGGGAGCTGGGGTGGAATTTGGACAGACAACTCCAGAGTTCAGGGGAAAGGACTGGGCTGGAGAAATAGATTTAGGAAGTCACACCATATATATGAGACTTAAAACCTCAAGCACGGATGAGGCACAAAGGGAGTGACTGACTATGGAAAAGAATGAGCACAAGGACTGAACCCTGGACCTCCAGTTCTAAGGGGTGTGATCAGACCACACCCAGAGCAGACTGCACAGTTCTGGCCCCACGTCTAGAGGACACTCAGACAAGGAACCCCCATGTGCACCAGGATCATCTGGATGTGGTGCTGAGATCCTGGAAGTCTGGAGTCGAGCAAGAGATTCTGGATTTATGACAAGGCTGGAGCTCATGTTGCTGGTCTCCAGATCACACTTGGAGTAGCAAGAGCACCAGGATCCCATACGTCTGAGCATCAGCCTCACCTCTAGGGCTTGTCATATAAATGATTCCTTGGTCTTGTGCATAATACTCTGAGACAAGGGTTCTGGGGAGTGGCCTGTGTATTTTCTAAGTCCCCGCCAGCAATCCTATTGCTCAGACAGATTGGGAGCCACTGAGATCAGTGATCAGAGAGTGCCCAGGGTGGGTGGGTGGGGTGGGTTTTCAAACCCTGTTGAAAAGAGGATTTTTCTCACAGAAAGAAAAGGGAGGCTGTATATCATCAGTTATGAGAGGTGATATTCTCTGTTGTTCTCTCCACCATGGGGTAGAGGCCAGGCAGACAATTCAGGATGTGGCTCTCGCACAAAGAACACCTCTGAATGCCGCTCTCTGACACGCCCACAGACTCATTTCTCACTCACTTCTTGGAGAAAACTATGGAAACCAAGTTTCTGTAATGTACACATAAAGTTGTATATTGGTATTGGGGGCTAGTTTTATTCCGGGGAAGGCCACAGAACCAGGCTGGAAACTACACATCCAAGAACAGAATTCACAGCCCACCCTGGATCAGGTCCCTCCTAGGAACAAATGCCTCTGCTGCTGAGCACAGACAGCACTGCTCACACCTCTGACACCCTGGTCCTGGACACTGGACCCTGAGGCTAGGACAGATGTCACTGCTGCATCTGGAAATTGGACATCACTACTGTCACTCAGCCTTCTTTACTAAAATGCTTTCTGCACAGTCCTAGCCTCTCTGTCACCTCATTCTGGCTGAGTCTGGCAGTGATATAGGAGTTAAGAAGAAATTATTTAGACAGGTAGTGAGGGTACGCAAGGCTTTTAATGGAAAGCAGGCTCCAAATTATTTTCTTTTCTAACAAGGAGCAGCCTGTAATATCAAGATTCAGACATAGACAAGTAAGCTGGAAGTTTGCACGGGTGAATGCCAGCAGCTGTCCAATAGGAATAGGACGCCTGGGACTGGGCATGTTCACTATGGCGGCTCCATCTTCCCTTCTCTTTGCCAGGCACGTTTACAGTAAGGAGCAGACAACGTGTCACCAGCCAAGTGGAAAGCCCATTTGCATAATAGGATGAGGGTGGGGTGAACAGCCTTCCACACGCACTGTGTAAGTATCACACCTGGTCCAACCAACCTGTGGGCCCTACATAAATCAGACACCATCTCCTCAAGCCTGCCTGCAAAATCCGATGCACTCCCATTCCAGGCCGGAATTCCCTTTTGGGTGCCCCTCTCTCTCACAAGAAGGAGCTGTTTCCCTTTGTCTTTCTTTTGCCTATTAAACCCTTTGATCCTAACTCACTCCTCGTGTGTCAGTGTCCTTAATCTTCTTGGCGTGAGATGACGAACACTTAGTATTTACCTGAGACAATGACACCTCTTCAGCAGGTGGTCATCAGACTGGTGGAGCTTAAAACTCATGTCCATGAGCAACTGCAGGGGTGACTGGGGTGTTGTTGTCCTCTTCCAGGGAGGGAGGTGGTGTCTGTCTCCTCTCAACATTTTACATGTTGTAAACCAAAAATAAACATCAAAGCCACCCCTTCCCAATCATTTTAATGGACACCCTCAGCCAGGGTGCTCAAAAGTTAACCTGAAAGACTGGCTCAGGCCACCAAGGGAAGCAGGTATTGAACATGTCTTATTATGCCCTCTTCCCTCTTGGAATTCAGGAAAAGTTGACCAGCATTTACCATCAACACAGACCTTCAGTCTGATCAGAAACATTTACAATCTGTTCTCTCTGAAGCCTGGCACCTGGAGGCATCATCTGCATGAGAATTTTGGACTCCACAACCTTTTATCATAACCCAGACATTCCTTTCTATTGATAATAACTCAACCAATTGCCAATCAGAAAAATTAAAAATCTACTTATAACCCAGAAGCACTACCCCGCAACCCTTGCTTGCTTCAAATTGTTCCAACTTTCTGGACTGAACCAATGTATAGCTTAAATGTATTTGATTGATGTCTCATATATTCCTTAAATGTGTAAAACCAACCTGTGCCTCAAACACCTTGAGCACATGTTCTCAGGGTCTCCTGAGGGCTGTGTCATGGGCTGTGGTCACTCATTTTTGGCTCAGAATAAATCTCTTTAAATATGTTACTGAGTTTGACTCTTTTCATTGACAGTGTGGAATTCTGATGTAGTAAGAGGGTTCAAGTGCTGGAGTGTGAGGGGTGGGGAAAAGTGACAAATTTTAATTCTTGGAGCAGTGATCCAGGACGAGAACTTTATCTGGTACCCAGTAGGCACGAAGAGTGGCTGAATGAACCAGTGACTAATAAATAACATATTTCCACCCATTCCCTTGAGGATAGGTTTACATCAAGTTTTTGTCTATCCCAGTTTATACTCTAGATTATTGGAGTGGCATTCTGTAATGATGAAATGATTATTCAAACATCTTCCCTCAGCATGACTCTTACTAGGATTAAAACTCCCAGGTTTGTAAGATCTCAGAGGTTCTGGGTCCACACGATGTTTTCTATTAATATTTATATTTTCTTGTGTGTGGAAATATTTCTGGGGAGAGAATCTCTAACATTTATTAGTTTTTATGTGACACCCTCAAAGGCCTAAAAAATCCTAACTTCTAGATTAAAGGTAGGACCACTCCACGTCTAGACAATGAACAGCTGGTAGCAACCTGTGTTTAGGGACATGAAACAAATGCTTACATTTGTTTATCTTTTCCTCTGGGACCGAAGAAGGTAGAGGTTTACTTGCTTACTCTTACTATAAGTTTCTCTCTGTGGGATGGTGATGGGGTTTTCTTCCACCCAAATAACTTTCTGATTCTCCAACAGCAGCTGGGAGTCCTAGAGTTTGACTCAATTCTGACACTAACTACCTGGAGTTCGCCTCAGACTCCACAGGTTTACCAGTTCAGTCCTACAAGTCTGTCCTCACTTCAGAAGCAAGTCACAAGTATCACGTCCCAGGTTACCTGCACTTCTGTCTAACATGGCTGCAAAGTCAGGGGTTTCTCACCTCCCAAGGATTGAGAATTCTTAAACTAACTCAAAGAACTAAGGAAGTTGCTATAGCCATGTAAACCAAAAAACGTCTGAGACAGGTCTCAGTCAGTTTAGAAGTTTATTTCGCCAAGCTGAAGATGCACCTTGGAAACAGAGACACAAATCATTGTAGCATCTGTGGCCCATGCTTTTTCCTAACAGGCTTTTGAGGACTTTAATGTGTACAGGGGAAAGAGCAGCCAGGAGAGGAAAAAAATAGTCAACTATGCATTCATCTCATGCTCAGTAAATCTGCATTTTAAATAAGATAAAGTAAACATTGGGTGGAAAAGTCAAATATGCGTTTGACTCTGGGTGGGTGGAGGGATGATTTCTAGTCTTGTCTTTGTCCTGTACCTGTGAAGATAAGCTGTTAATTTACATTGTCAGGGGAAAATTCAACAAAACTGTTTTAGGGTAAACACGTTGGGGCCCACAAGGAATTATCTTGTGAGCAGTTTGTGAGGGAGGCCACCTGGGGAGATATGTGGTCTTCTATCTTTGCAGTTATTTGTTTAGGAACGAAAGAAAGGCAGTTTTTCCATCAGTCTCCAAACTTAATTTTTCCTTTTGGTATAGTGAATTTGGAGTCCTGAAATTTTATTTTCTTTTCACACTCAGTATTGCAGTTTTTTATTGTTATAGCTTAAATCCCCACCTTTTTGGCACCTGGGACCGGTTTCATGGAAGACAGTTTTTCCATGGACCAGTGGAGGTGGTGGAGGGCAGAGGGAAATGGTTTCGGATGAAACTGTTGTACCTCAGATGATCAGGCATTAGCGCTTCATAAGGAGCATGCAACCTAGATCTCTCGCATGCAGAGTTCACAATAGGGTTCGTGCTTCTATGAGAATCTAATTCCGCCACTGATCTGACAGGAGGCGGAACTCTGGTGTTATGCTCATGCTCTCTCACCCACCGATCACCTCCTGCTGTGCAGTCTGGTTCCTACCAGGCCAGGAACCTGTACCAGTCCGCAGACAGGGGTTAAGGACCCCTGGTTTAAATTATGCCACTAGAGCAGAACTCCTGAGACTGGATAACTTATAACAAACAGAAATTTGTCTCGTTCATGGTGTCGAGGATGAGAATTCCCAGATCAAGGGACTCTATCTGGTAGAAAACAAAAGGACAAGAGAGGGTGAGAGGTGGGGGGAAAAGGAAGTCAAACTCAGCCTCAGGTCCTTTTATGATGAGCCTTAGTCCATTAATGAAGGCAGAGCTCTGATGGTCCAATCACCTCTCAAAAGTCCTATTTCTTAAAAATGTTGCATTCGGGATGAAATATCCAACAGGTGCTTTTTTGGGGAAACATTCAAACCATAGCAGTTATAAAGGATACAAAGGAGCAGCCAGATGAAGAGGTGCACAGGGTGAGGCCTGGAAGGGCTCTGAGCACAGGAGCCTCTGTCCCCATGGAGATGGGGCTCACCATCCTCCCAGCACGTGGACACACGGATGTGCTCAGCAATTGGGAAGCTCTCCGAAACCCAATCCCCAGAGGTTTCTATGGAAATTTCATTGTGGAGGCAAGACTAATTAAATCACTGGTCATTGTGTGACTGAACTCAACCTCGAACCTCTCTTTCCTTCCCAGACTTTAGGGATGGGGTTAACAGTTCCAATCCTCTAATCACAGCTTCGTGTTTCTGGCAACCAGCCCCCATCCTGAAGCTATCTAGGAGCCCCTCACCCCATAGTCATCTCATTGCCATATTGAAGTCATTGTTTATCACTGAGGAGATTGCAAATGTTTTAGAACCTGGTTGTCAGGAAACAGGGAAAAGACCAAATATTTTTATTGGACCACAGATCACACCCTGGTTTTGACCACATTATCTCTTTTTATAATATTTATTATTTTATTTTAGAGATAATCTCTTGCTCTGTTGCCCAGGGTAGAATGCAGTGGCACAATCATAGCTCACTCTAACCTCGAATTCCTGGACTCAAGTGATCCTTCTGCCTCAGCCTCCTGAGTAGATAGCATTACAGGTACACACCACCATGCCCAACTAATTTTTAAATATTTTGTAGGAATGGGTCTCACTATTCTGCCCAGTCTGGTCTCAAACTCCTGGCCTTAAACAATATTCCTACCATTGCCTCCCAAACTGATGGAATTACAAGTGTGAGCCACTGTGCCTGGCCAATCACAGATCTCCTATACCAGAAGAATCATAACAGTGAAAAGACCCTGGCACATTACCACAATCCTCTTTGGTCATTAACAATGATCCCAGTGCAATCCATAAACAGGAATAGTTTCAGCAACATATGACTGCACGCTTTCAGGCAACTGGTAAAATTGAGCTAAGAGACAATATCATCTCTTGCTTATACCTCTTTCAAGTAGTTCATGTAACATTGGATTTTCCTCATTACATAACCCATTTATTCATTCATTTACCCTCAGCTACTATTTCTCCTTCCCTTCATTTATACTAAACATTTATAATTTTGGAAGGAACACTAGGTTCTGCTGCTGTGCTGGCTGAGACTGCAGGGAGCAATACTGTTCTAGCAAGTGTCTCCCGTCATCCATTCCAGTTCATAGAGGGTAGGGTTATGCAGTAGAGAACTGGTTGGCTATCTGACCCCAGGCAATACAGCTGCATTCAGTGTTAGCCCCAACTTTGCCAGATGCAGTGAAGGCACAACCTACTTCTACAGGCCCTTAGGAATTATTACATAATGGACATAAAATATATTTACAGTTTCTTGCTCAGGAATAATTCCTGTTTCTGGACTCTATTTGCATCCCTAGTCCTGGGACCACTGCATCAGGTATGAGAAAAGCAAGTTGAGGTGAATTACAGTCATCATTCCAGTGTCCTCCCACCTTGGGGAGGAATATATGTAGATCACACCAGCACCTTCCCCTGATCCACCAGGAAAAGAGAGGATACTCTCACGTCAAGTGCGAGCACACTCAAGAAGGTGTATAAGACCACCCTTTGTGCTTGTTTCCCCACTCTTGCCTTTACACACCCAATTGACTATTTTAATTCTCTACAGAACTCTTCCTCTGAGAAGGATATCTCTCTGACCATTGTTGGACATTTTGAGCAGGTGCATTTTCTGGTGTAAAGAAATATGACTCTGTGGTCCACATGGTTGCAGTACCTCCCATTCAGGTTCTTTTGTAACACTCCGAGCATTTGCCTCTGAGATAAAGCAGGGACCTCTCTTAGAAGCCTGCCAGGGCCTCCCAACCTGGAAATAAAGAAAAACCTTTAGTTCCTTCAAGAGAAATTCCAGGTACCTAGCCAGCCCTAAAAAGTAGTGAGTGACCTTATAAGCAAGATGGTAATGATAGCTTAAAACAACAGCCAAGGAAGTTAGAGTCACAAGATGTTTGATTCTCTATAGAAACTAAAAATAACACCTTAACATATGCCCCTGAGTTGTTTTTCAGAAACATGGATTCCCACCTAATAGATCCACTGACAGGGAGATCTTATAAAGGGGAAACTGAGGACTGAACTCTGACCGCCGTTCTTTGTTCTAAATTTCTTCCTGAGGGGCCTGGAGAGAGTAAAGCCCACAGGCCAGGCCTGAACATTCCTCTCTACTGCCCCCAACTGTGTAAGGAAGCTGCTTAAAGAAGCTTCACTTTCTTATCTATCACAAATCAGAGAATCTTTACATCTACCTAAGACCTGTAAGCTCCCTCATCAGGATATTCCACCTTTTAAGGCCAAAGCAGTGTATAACTTCTATGCATTGATTTATGATGTTGCCTGTAACTCTGCTGTCCCGAAATTTGCCCCTGCCTTTAAAAATTCTTGCTTGTGAGCCATCAAAAAGTTGGGTCTTAAGCGTGAGCTGCCCAATTCTCCTTGTTTGGTGCCCTACACATAAATGCCCTCCTTTCTCCCACTACATTCTCAGTGTGGATGTTTGCTTTTACTGCCCCAGGTGAGTGGACCCCAGTTCAGTTTGGTAACACACCTGCCACCAGCTGAACAAAGCCCATTCCAGGGTGAGGATCTGTTCCTGCCAAGACCCATTTGCTGCTTCCTGGGGCTACTGGTATCAGTCTAACTTGCCAGCTATGTATTTTCAAGGCCCTGGCATAAAAGAATCTGCCACATAGCCATATGCTAGCTCTCCTTTTTTTGTTAAAGAAAGCACTTCTTATGTGTATTTTTTGCCTGTGATGTGTGGAATGCAAGAGGAATATGTCTTGATTCCACCTATCTCTGCATTGCTACAACCCCAATGTCTATTCATTTCACGGACTCAGGTGATCACCACAAGCAAACCTGGATTTTTTGTTGTTGTTGTTGTTGTTTTTGAGATGTGGTCTTGATATGTTTCCCTGGCTGGCCTCAAGTGTTGCTGAGGCTAAACTCTAACTCCTGGACTCAAGATATCCTTCTGCCTCAGCTGCTTTCATAGCTGAAATTACAGGTGCACCTGGCAAACACTTGGAGATAAATTCTTGTTGATTTCAATCACCTTCCAAACCTGGAAGGGAGTTATTCTGAGGGACACTGAACAGCACTGAGGGGACGGTGCTAAAGGATTCATGAGAAACTGACCTCGTGATCCAACCACCTCCCTCCCTCCAGGCCCCACCTACAATGCTGGGGATCACATCTCGACATGAGAACAGCATCCAATCTATATCAGGTATCAACAGATCTTACATTAATGAACCCCTCAAATTACCATAGTGATTTCCGTGGGACTTGGCTCACATGGGCATTCTTTTCATAGGCAAGTTTTTCATTGCTCTCCTGATTAATTATATGGCCAGGCCATTAGTCACTCCCTTTAAGTCAGTAAAAACTAAAACGTAGGAGCTTTATCATTGCTCAATTCTTCCACCACTGCTAAGAAAACACCATGCAATTAAGTCCACAAGAGCCCTTCTGTTTTTACCTTGTTTGATCAAAGAGGTGGACTTCCAAACAGGATGTTGTTCATTCATCTTGCAAATGCTATACACAAACCAACCAGCTGTTTGTGGGTCAGTTGATGGATACTGCAGTTCAAATCCCTGCGCTGTGTGCTACAGAGTTCCATCTTGCTCGAGGAAGGTCAGTGTTTTGTTTAATTTATGCCTTCAATGAATTGAATGAAGCCCACCCACATGATAGACATCAATCTACTTTATTCAAAGTCTAGCTATTTATATGTTAATCTCATCCAACAAATGTCCTCACAAATCATCCAGAATAATGCTTGACTACCTATCTAGGCAACATGCTTTAGCCAAGATGATCAATAATTTTTTTTTATTATTATACTTTAAGTTCTAGGGTACATGTGCACAACGTGCAGGTTTGTTACATATGTATACATGTGCCATATTGGTGTGCCGCACCCATTAACTCATCATTTATATTAGGTATATCTCCCAATGCTATCCCTTCCCACTGCCCCCACCCCATGACAGGCCCCAGTGTGTGATGTTCCCCACCCTGTGTCCAAGTGTTCTCATTGTTCAATTCCAACTTATGAGTGAGAACATGCGGTGTTTGGTTTTCTGTCCTTGGGATAGTTTGCTCAGAATGATGGTTTCCAGCTTCATCCATGTCCCTACAAAGGACATGAACTCATCCTTTTTTATGGCTGCATAGTATTCCATGGTGTATATGTGCCACATTTTCTCAATCCCGTCTATCATTGATGGACATTTGGGTTGGTTCCAAGTCTTTGCTATGTGAATACTGCCGCAATAAACATATGTGTGCATGTGTCTTTATAGCAGCATGATTTATAATCCTTTGGGTATACGCCCAGTAATGGGATCACTGGGTCAAATGGTATTTCTAGTTCTAGATCCTTGAGGAGTTGCCACACTGTCTTCCACAACGGTTGAACTAGTTTACAGTCCCACCAACAGTGTAAAAGTGTTCCTATTTCTCCACATCCTCTCCAGCACCTGTTGTTTCCTGACTTTTTAATGATCGCCATTCTAACTAATGTGAGATGGTATCTCATTGTGGTTTTGATTTGCATTTATCTGATGGCCGGTGATGATGAGCATTTTTTCATGTGTCTGTTGGCTACATAAATGTTTTCTTTTGAGAAGTGTAGTTCATATCCTTTGCCCACTTTTTGATGGGGTTGTTTGATTTTTTCTTGTAAATTTATTTGAGTTCTTTGTAGATTCTGGATATTAGCCCTTTGTCAGATGGGTAGATTGTAAGGATTGTAAGTATTGTAAGAATTTTCTCCTATTCTGTAGGTTGCCTGTTCATTCTGATGGTAGTTCTTTTGTGGTGCAGAAGCTCTTTAGTTTAATTAGATCCCATTTGTTAATGTTGACTTTTGTTGCCATTGCTTTTGGTGTTTTAGTCATGAAGTCCTTGCCCATGCCTATGGCCTGAATGGTATTGCCTAGCTTTTCTTCTAGGGTTTTTATGGTTTTAGGGATGACCAATAAAATTAATTATGATATTCTTCAATATAAGAATACTCTGAGGAAATTAGCCTGTGACCTAATAAAACAAGGAGCAAACAAGTGTTTCTAAAAATTTACAACCAATAGTCAAAAAGCCTATAGAGTGAACTTGTTTCTCAAGTTCACTCTATAATTCTGGGAAAATTCTATAATTTTCAACAAATACATGTATTTGTTGAAAACCACAGAAGAAGAGAAAATTGAAAAAGCAGAAAGTGAAAAAATAAGAATAATAATAAAGATGACAGCAGTTATTTCATTGGAAACAATGCAAATGAGGAGACAGATGAGCAACATCTTTAGAGTCCTAAAAGGAAAATGCTGTGAAACTAGATTCTAGTCCCAGAAAATAAACCTTTTTCAAATATATACGTATAAGTTTAATTGACAAATTATAATACATTCGTAAGATATTGTTTGATGTATTGATATATGTATACCATGTGTAATGATTAAATTAAGCTAACATACCTTGAATATATCTATCAAAAAATAAAGGGATTTTAGGCCAGGCACGGTGGCTCATGCCTGTCATCCCAACACTTTGGGAGGCCGAGGTGGACAGATCATGAAGTCAGGAGTTCAAGACCAGCCTGACCAACATGGTGAAACCTCGTCTCTACTAAAAATACAAAAATTAGCTAAGCATGGTGGCATGCGCCTGTAATTCCCAGCTACTCAAGGGGCTGAAGCAGGAGAATCACTTGAACACGGGAGGCTGAGGTTGCAGTGAGCCAATATCACATCATTGCACTCCAGCCTGGGCAATAGAGTGAGACTCTGTCTTAAAAATAAATAAATAAATAAATAAACAAACAATTGGATTTTAGACATATAGGGAGTGAAAAAATAACCAGCAGACCTAAACTATAATAAATGTTTCAGTCCTCTAGGCAAAAAGAAAATTAAGGGACTAGTTGGTACAGCATTTAATGATGAAGAGACAGCTTCATCGCCCCCTCCCACCGAGACAGAGAACACAGCCCTGGGGCCTGGGAATTCCTCTCCCCAATCCACCACCTTGGGCACCTGTGCACTCCTTCTGGGTACCTGAGGTTGGGGGCAATCACCCTATCTGTCACCTACCTGCAAACACCACCTATGGGCAACCCACCCAGCCTATCACAGCTGCCGCTAACAATGCACACTGCTTGGACCCAGAGAAGCAGCCCACCACTGCCACTGCCAAGCTAGCTGCCCAGGAGCCGAAGACCCCACCCACCCACCCAGTCAACCTCTGCCACTACTGGCATCCAAGCAGGCCACCTGGAGGCCCAGGAATCAGCCCACCAGTAACCACCAACACGAATGCCAGTATACACCACCTTGGGGCACAAAGATAGGAACACTCAGCACACCACTGCCACTGTTGGAGCCTGAAGACTGTCTCATATGGCATCCCAGTCCCCAGCACATCTTCACCACAGCCTCACTAATAACCACACCCTAATGCACAGAAGAAATCACAGATACCATTAACACTGCCTACAGCCAAAGAAATTACACAGAGACCATAGTACTCTACTATGTACTACACCCAGAATCAAATCCAAAGTACCCCACACAACCAACATCATAGACTCATCTTCAGGAAAAAGTTATCCACTATGAAACAAAATTCAAAAATAGGAAACTGACCGTGATATCAGATGTAAAAATATTAACGTTAGGACACAGAAACATGAAAAAGCAAAAAAAGAAAAAAAAGCCCCAAAGGAAGACAATAGATCTTAATCAAAAAGAAATTTTCAAGATTCCAGATAAAGGATTCAAAATATTTATTTTACAGAAGTTCAATGAGATACAAAAGAATTCTGAAAAAAAAATACCAAGAAAGCCTAAAAATAATTCAGGATATGAATAAGAAGTTTACAAAAGATATAGATTTAAAAAAAACAAATAGAAATTCTGGAATTAAAGAATTCATGACATGAAATTCCAAATACATTTGAAAGCTTCAACAATATACTAGGTCGGGCAGAAGGAAGAATTCCAAAACTTGAAGATATACATCGTGAAATAATTCAATAAGACAAAAACACACACACAAAAAGAATGAGCAAAGCCTTTGTGACATTTGGTACAATATAAACAACCAAATATTCAAATTATCGGTATCCTCAAGAGCAAAGAGACAAAGAACAGATTAGAAAACCTATTTAATGAAAGAATAGATGAATAATTCCCAACTCTAGCAAGTGATTTAGACATTCAGATACAAAATGTTCAACAATTCTGAGAAAAATACAGTGCAAAAAGTTCTTCTCCATGGCATATAATCAGACTTTCTATAGTTTAAGGTAAAACGTAAATCCTAAAAATAGTAAGAGAAAAGCATTTAGTCACCAAGAAAGGAAACCCCATCAGACTAACAACAGATTTCTTTTTCTTTTTTCTTTTTTTTGAAACAGAGTCTCGCTATGTTGCCAGGCTGGAGTGCAGTGGCATGATCTCGGTTCACTGCAACCTCCGCCTCCTGGGTTCAGGTGATCTCCTGCCTCAGCCTCCCAAGTAGCTGGGATGACAGGTACAAGCCACCACACCCAGCTAATTTTTTTTTTTTTTTTGTATATTTAGTAGAGATGGGATTTCACCATGTTGGCCAGGATGGTCTTTATCTCTTGACCTCATGATCCGCCCACCTCAGCCTCCCAAAGTGCTGGGATTACAGGTGTGAGCCACTGTGCCCAGCTCTAACAGCAGATTTCTTGCAGAAATCTTACAGGCCAGAAGAGAATAGGATAGCATAATCAAAGTCCTGAAAGAAAAGAACTGCCAAGCCAAGAGTAATAAACAAAACATAAATTATTCTTCATAATTGAAAAAGAAATTGTCTTTCCAAGACAAGCAAATGCTGAAAGGCTTCGTTATCACTAGACAGGGCCTACAGGAAATGCTCAAGAAAGTCCTAAACCTGGAATTGAAAGGACAACATTTTCAACATTTCCACATTATCACCATGAGAACATACACAAGTATAAAACTCACTGGTAAAGCAATCACACAAAACAGGAAGAGAAAGTTCTCAGATGGTCCTACTACAGAAATCCACCAAAGCATAATGACAAGCAATAAGAGAAAAAGACAATAACAAAAGACATATAAAACAACCAGAAAACAACAGTGTGAAAGGAACAAAGCTGTTGGGAACAGGACCCCAAAAATCTGGCCATAAACTGGCCCCAAAACTGGCCATAAACAAAATCTCTGCAGCACTGTGACATGTTAATGATGGCCATGACGCCCACACTGGAAGGTTGTGGGTTTACCAGAATGAGGGCAAGGAACACCTGGCCCACTCAGGGCAGAAAACTGCTTCAAGTTGTTCTTCAACCACAAACAATAGCATGAGCGATCTGTGCCTTAAAGACATGCTCCTGCTGCAGATAACTAGCCAAACCTATCCTTTTATTTTGGCCCATCCCTTTGTTTCCCATAAGGAATACTTTTAGTTAATCTATAATCTATAGAAACAATGCTTATCACTGGCTTGAGTTAATAAATACAGGGGTAAATCTCTATTCGAGGCTGTCAGCTCTGAAGGCTGGGAGACCCCTGATTTCCCACTTCACACCTGTATATTTCTGTGTGTGTGTCTTTAATTTCTCTAGCGCTGCTGGGTTAGGGTCTCCCCAGCTGAGTTGGTCTCAGCACAAAGCCTCACATATTAATAAAAATCTGGAATGTAAACAGATTAAATTCTCCACTTATAAGATGTAGAATGGCTGAATGGGTAGAAAACATGATCTAACTACATTCTGCTTACAAAAAAACTCACTGGTAATACCACCTCACCACAATCCATAGAGACAGAAGGTAAAAGAATGGCAACAGGTTATGTATCGAAACCAAAAGTGAGCAGGAGTAGCTATACTTATAGCAGATAAAATAAACAGTAAGTCAAGAACAATTTTTTTAAAAGATAAGGAAGGCCATCACATAATCATAAAGAGATCCATCCAAGAAGAGAATAGAACAATTCTAAATATATATGCACTAAACATTGGAGCACTAGATTCATAAAACAAATATTACTACATCTAACAAGAGAGATAGACTCCAATACAATAATAGTGGGGGACTTCAACATCCCAACCTCAGCATAAGACAGATCATCTACACAGAAAATCAAGAAAGAAACATTAGATTTAAACTGAATTTTACACCAAATAAAGCTAACAGATATTTACAGAGCATTCTCTCTAACACTACAGAATACACACTCTTTTCATGAACACATGGAACATTTTCCGGGAGAGAGCCTATGTTAAGCCACAAAACAAGTCTCAACAAATTTTCAAAAATTGAAATCATATTAAATATCTTCTCTGGCCACAATGGAATAAAACTAGAAATATACACCAAGAGAAATGTTGGCAACTAGACCAATACATGGAAATTAAGCAACCTGCTCCTGAATAACCATTGAGTCAACAGAGAAATTAAGATGTAAATCAAAAAGTTTCTTGAAATAAATGAAAATGGAAACACAACATACCAAAACCTGTGGGATACAGCTAAACAGGGCTAAAAGGGAGGTTTATAGCAATAAATACCCACCTAAGAAAAGTAGAAACATTACAAATTAACAATATAACAATGAACCTCATGGAACCAGAAAAGCAAGAAAAAAACATATCCAAAATTAGCAGAAAAGAAATAATAAAGATCATAGTAGAAATAAATAAAGACTTTTAAAAACCATGTAAATGATCAACAAAGTGAAAAGTTTGTTCTTCAAAAACATAAACAAAATTGATAAACCACTAGCTAAACAAACCCAGAAAAAAAGAGAGAAAATTTATTAAGAATAAAAGTTCCTCTTCAAAGTTTTCCTTTTTGGTTTAGAATGATAAGTCTTAAGAAGATAGTTCCTCTTAAAAGCTTCCTTTAAGTTTCCCTCGCTCTTCATACTAACAAATCTTCTATTTTACTAATGACTCTTTATTGTGCCCCAAAGGAGTTGTTACATACAGTAAACAAATAAACACATTCTATGTTCTTGTACTTGAACCAAGGCCTAACTCCTTTGTTCCCTAGTCTGCCTGGATCTGCCTGGACACGCCCAGGCATGTCACAGCTTGCAGCCTATGCTCTTTCCTTATTTGGAAATATTATTGTCTTCCTGGTTTCCCATAAGCGACCCCCTCCTTTCCTTGGTTCCCCATTGTGCCTTTACCTTATTTGGGAAAGTTTAAGTTTTTAGCCAACTGGGATCAGTTTAGATTGTGTGGTCCAGTTCCAGCCAATGGAGACAGGACACAATAGTAGAAACAAATTGCGTTAGGAATAAAAACCCCTGCTTTCCTTTGTTCTGGTTGCTCTCGTGGCAATCAGGCTTACAGGTAGCACCCTTCTGCAGAAGTAAAAATTGCCTTGCTGAGAAATCCTTTGATCAAGTGTTCATTTCCTTTGTGACTCCAAGCTTTATTTCTAACTATTTTATGGGGGCTCTTCCAGGATTCCCATTCTCCTATGGGAAGGGGTCTTTGGTCACCCCATCTAGGGGAGGTGTACCCCACTGCAGTGGCCCCAGGGACGGGAGATTGAGACTACCCATTGTGATGAATAAATTCAGGCTCTCAGCAATGTGGAAGGAGAAGGCCCACAAGTACCGCGATGACCAGCTAACTCTGTGCAGAGACCAAGGTAAAAAAAGTCACACGGGCAACAGTATTTCCTTGGTGGTCGGGATATTCTGGAGGTTAAAGGGTGTGAAAGGTAACAAGCACTACTGCTGTGCAGAGTGAGTGAGTTCAATCTGTGGTTCCGTGGTCACCTCATGTGGCTTATGATGGCCCTCTTGTAGGGATCCTGACATTGGGGTTCATACAGTCCTGCTGATGCTAAGGGGAGCCTAATTTCCTCTGGGAAAGCAGCCAGAGTGGATGAAGCAAAAGGAGAAGATTGCAAGGAACCTCCAGGGTGGGGGTTAAACCTCCAGGGAAGGATAGGCAAGAAATCTCTAGTTTGAGGGACTGAGCCTAACCAGTATTCAACATGGGAAATACCCTGAGTAAGACAGAAGGTAAAAAGGAAAAGGCAAACAGTGAAATCACCTCTGATAGTCCTTTAGGACTCATGTTAAAATATTGGAAGAATACGAGAGGACTAAACATAAGAAAAAGCAACAGATGATAAAGTATTATTGTTTCATTTGGACCAAGGAACCTATTCTAAAGCCTTCAGTTTTCTGGCCAAAATTCGGGTCAAATGAGGCTTGGACTTGCCAACTTTTAATAGAATGTGTAAATGATAAGAGTCCTGTTTCCCAGGAGGAAATACATTATGCTCTGTGTTGGCAGCAAGGGCCCATCCTCCTTTGTCATCTAAAAACCAAAGGAGACAAGCCAGAAACTACTTCTCATGAAATTAATACCCCTTACTCCAAGAACCCCACCAACACGTGGGATGCCTTAGACCATCTTCCCCCACCAAAACTTCTTCCCCCCACCCAGTAGACCAACATCCCCCACCTCCCCCTTCAGTAGAAATAACAGTCCCAGACCTTTCCCCTACTCAGACTTTTTTTCCCTCCTTTTAACCCTGATTCTTGGGGTCATCCCCAGCTTGAATGCCCTCCCTCAGGAAGACTTCAACGTGAGTTAGAACAATGTAAAAATGATATCCAAAACTTCCCTTTTCCCCCTTCCTCTAGGGGTTTGGCTACAAACCTCTTCCCACTGAGGGAAGTGCCTCTAGGAGGAGCGGGCATTGGCTTTTTAAATGCTCCCCTGACCAGTTCGGAAGTCCAGAGCTTGAAGAGGGAACTCAAGCCACTCTTAGACGATCCCTATGGAGTGGCAGATCAAATTGATCAATTTTTAGGACCCCAGTTGTATACTGGGGCTAAGTTTATGTCCATCATAGGCATCCTTTTTTCAGGGGAAGAAAGGAGCATGACGCACAGGGCCGCTATGACCATCTGGGAGTGTGAGCATCCTCCCGGTCAAAACGTCCCTGCAGCCAAACAGAAATTTCCTGCTTAAGATCCCCAGTGGGATAATAACAACATAGCTCATAGGAGGAATATGAGAGACCTGCAAGAAATGATAATAAAAGGAATTAGAGAATCAGTACCCCGCACCCAGAATATGACCAAAGCTTTTAATATACAGCAAGGAAAAGAAGAGGGGCCTATGGAATATTTTAATAGGCTTAAGGAACAAATGAGGAAATATGCTGGTTTAGATGGAGGAGACCCACTTGGACAAGGAATGTTAAACGCTTCACTTTGTCACAAATAGCTGGCCAGATGTTACCAAGAAATTACAAAAGATAGAAAATTGAAAGGACTGTCCCATAAAGGAACTCTTAAGGGAGGCCCAAAAGGTGTATGTACGAAGGGATGAAGAAAAGCAAAAGCACAAGGCAAAGATTGTGCTGTTCTTAAAGCAGGGAACTCCCCAATAGACAGCTCAAAGAAATATCGCCGGTAAATCTTTTAGGTACCCGACTGTCAGACTCTATAATGGAGGTAAAGGAATCAAACCAGGGAACAAGGGAATAAAAAGAGGAATAGGGCAGAATAAATGCTTCAAGTGTGGGAAGGAAGGTCACTTTAAAAGAGAATGCCCTGAATGGAAAAAAGAAAAAGAAATCACCCCACTTATGATCTTTGAGGAGGAATGGGGGGCCAGGGGCTCTACTCTTTTTACCTCGAGTCCCACCAAGAGCCCTTGATAAATTTAGAGGTGGGACCCAGACCTTTTTAATTGACTCAGGAGCTGCTGATTCCTCAGTTTGTTATCTTCCCCTGGTGTAACTTGGTCACAAGAAGAACTTTTTATTTTGGGAGCAAAAGGGGAGGGGTTTAAAGCAAAAGTCTTAGAAGAAACAAAAATTAAATATCAGAAACACTCAGTAAATATTAAACTTCTGTTAATCCTGGAGGCAGGAACAAACCTATTAGGAAGAGATTTAATGCTAAAATTAAACCTAGGCCTTTGTGTTAATCAAGGAAATCTCCTCCCCTCCTTAAATTTGCTTGCTACTCTAAATGAGGGATACATCCATCCAGATGTATGGTCAAAGGAAGGAAACTGAGGAAAGTTACAAATTTCCCCAATCCAAGTTAAATTGAAAAACCTGGGGCAAGAGGTAAAAAGAAAACAATATCCAATTCCCTTAGAAGCTAAGATCAATTTAAAGCCCATAATGGAAAGCCTTCTCCATGGTGGACTCATTGAACCCTGTACGTCTCCTTATAACACTCCCATACTGCCTGTGAAAAAGCCAGAGGGGTCATATCGGCTAGTGCAAGATCTTCGATCTATTAATCAAATAGTTCAAACAACTCACTCTGTCGATCCTAATCCTTATGCTATTATTAGTAAAATTCCTTACAACCATGAGTGGTTCACAGTAATAGATCTAAAGGATGCCTTCTGGGCTTGCCCACTAGCAAAGATAGCCTTTGAATGGGAGGACCCTCACTCTGGTTGAAAATAACAGTATCGATGGACAGTTTTGCCCCAGGGATTTACAGAATCTCCAAATTTGTTTGGTCAAATACTAGAACAGATCATAGAAAAGTTTTACAAACCACCATATATATGCCTGCTCCAATACATGGATAATATCCTTATTTCAGGGGAGGATAGACAAAAAGTGGAAGGATTTTCAATAGGTTTTTTAAAAATAATTTGCAACTGGAGGGGTTACGAGTGTCAAAAAAGCAAACTTCGGTTTGTAGAACCTGAAGTCAAGTATTTAGGGGACTTAATCAGTAAGGGCAAATGGATAATTGGATTTGAATGGATTGAAGGCATCATATCCTTCATATGATATCCTGAGACAAAGAAGGAACTTAGAAAGTTTTTAGGGTTAGTAGGGTATTGTTGCTTATGGATAGACTCTTATGCTTTAGTAACCAAACCTCTACATAAAAAAAACTTACACAGGATGAATTGGACCCCCTTATATGGTTTTACAAGAAATACAGCAGATAAAAAAATTAAAAGAGTTACTAGTGACAGCCCATGTTCTAGCCTTACCCTCTTTAGAATTGCCCTTTCATCTTTTTGTTAATGTAGGTAATGAAGTAGCCTTAGGGGTACTTACTCAAACACACGGAGGCCATTGGCAACCCATAGGCTTCTTGTCAAAAATTCTTGACCCAGTAGCCCATGGATGGCCCGAGTGTGTCCAATCAGTGGCAGCAACAGCCTTGCTCATAGAGGAGAGCAGAAAATTAACCTTTGGGGAAATCTTATCATTAGTACTCCTCAACAAGTGAGAACAATTCTCAATTAGAAGGCGGGAAGGTGGCTTATTGATTCAAGAATTTTAAAGTATGAAGCCATCTTGTTAGAAAGAGATGATCTAATCTTAACCACTGATGACTCAATTAATCCAGCTGCTTTCTTAACGGGAAACCCCAACCCACAGACCCCTGATCTTTGCCCAGAGCACAGATGTTTAGATTTAATTAGTTATCAAACAGAAGTTAGACCTGATCTAAATGAAACACCCTTTCATACTGGGAAACACCTGTCTGTAGATGGTTCCTCCCGAGTAATCAAAGGAAAAAGGCATAACGGGTATTTAACGATAGATGGAGATACCCTCACAGAAATAGAGTCTGAAAGGTTACCAAATGACTGGTCTGCACAAACATGTGAGTTGTTCACATTAAATCAGGCCTTAAAATTTCTGCAAATCAAGAAGCAACAATCTATACAGACTCCAGGTATGCCTTTGGAGTAGTCCATACTTTTGAAAAAATTTGGACTGAGCGGGGCCTCATTAACAGCAAAGGTCAAATTTTAGACCATAGGGACCTAATAATACAAGTACTAGAAAATATACAATTGCCAAAAGAAATAGCTGTTGTACATGTCCCACGACATCAAAGGAATCCTTTATTTGAAGGCCAGGGAAATAATCTCACTGACCAAATAGCTAAGCAAGCTGCCTATTCTCCAGCAGAACCCATTTTTCGACTAACCCCTTGTCTTCCATCTTCAGCTGCACTCCCTATCTTCTCTCAAACAGATCAGGAAAAACTAAAAAAAAAAGGAGCTGAAGAAAACTCAAAAGGAAAGTGGGTATTACCAGATGGAAGGGAAATGTTATCCAAACCTTATGAGGGAAATATTGTCACAGCTTCATCAAGGATGTCACTGGGGTCCTCAAACCATGTGTGATGCAGTCCTTAGGGTTTATGGGTGCATAGGAATATACACCCTCGCCAAGCAAATGGTGGAAAGTTATATAGTGTGCAGAAAATCTAATAAGCAGACCCTCAAAAGACAACCTCCCGGAGGGAGAAATCCTGGGTTAAGGCCATTTCAAAGTGTCCAAGCTGACTCTACTGAAATGCCCCCAATAGGCCGCCTTAAGTATTTATCGGTAATAGTAGATCATCTTACCCACTGGGTAGAAGCCATCCCCTTTCCAAGTGCAACAGCCAGTAATGTGGTCAAAGGTCTGTTAGAACATATCATATCCAGGTTTGGAATAATAGAGAACATTGATTCAGATAATGGGACCCAATTTACCATGTACATTATTAAAGGACTAATCCAAGTATTAGGGATAAAATGGGAATATCATACTTCCTGGCCTCCATCTTCATCAGGGAGAGTAGAAAGAATGAATCAAACTTTAAAGAGTCATCTAACCAAATTAATTTTAGAAACTCGCCTACCATGGACAAAATCTCTTCCCATTGCTTTACTAAGAATCCAAACTTCTCTTCGGAGGGATCTTGGCTTGTCTTCTTATGAAATGCTTTATGGGTTACCTTATCTAAACACTACTACTGACCTTCCTATGATCGAAACAAAAGATCAGTTCCTTAGAAATTATGTATTTGGTCTGTCTTCCACTCTTTCTTCCCTCAGGACTCAAGGTCTGGTAGCACAGACTCCACCCCTTGAATTCCGGGCCCACCAACATCAACCCGGAGATCACACGTCCTTATCAAAGGCTGAAAAGAGGGAAAGCTTGAGCCTACCTGGGAAGGACCCTATCTGGTGCTCACAACAACTGAAACAGTAGTTCGGACCACTGAGAAAGGGTGGGCCCATTATACTCGAGTCAAGTAGGCGTCACCTTCTCCAGAGACATGGACCATTATTCCGTCAACTCCCACCAGAGTAACAATAAAAAGAAAAACTTAATCTATCTCTTTTTCTTCTTTTCTTCCCTTAACTGCCCCCATCTCATCATTAATGTAACTAGATCAAGTTTGCCCAAAATTATTACCTTTGATGCTTCTCTAGTCATGCCTTGTGGAAATTTACAGGACCAAAGACAGCTTACTGCCTCAGATAAATATCTTTGTCCCTCTTGAACTTCCTCAGATTGGAAAGATATAACAAATTCTTGTAAAGATCATGATAACCCCAAAAATAGTAGCTGTATTAACTGGTGGGAATGGGACTCTTGTCCCCTTAAAGCAGAGTCCCTATGCTATACTTGGTCTAATGTCCTATGGAACAACAAAGGTCCAGGCTGGACTGCTCCCACCAGTCTTTGCCAGTCCTTAAAGCCATATATCCATTTTACAAAAGGGATTGCCTCTTCTGATTGTCCATATAACCAGTGTAATCCTATTCAGCTTACTATTACTATTGCAACATCCCAAAACTCTTCCCCTTCATTAAGTCATATTTATGGCATAGAGGCCAACATCTCAGGAAAGGATCCTAGGGGAATTTTTGAAATTTGCTTTATTGCCCCTTCCACCTCTCTATCACATCTTCCTCAAACCATCACCCCACCTATACCCAGTGACAAAACCAAAGTAGCTAAAGTAGAAGTAAAAGACCTGAGGCAAACTCTAGCCATTGAAACACGGTCTCAGGATGCAACTGCCTGGGTGGAATGGATTAAATATTCCATCCACAGTCAAAATAAGAGCAATTGTTATGCTTGGGCGCATGGTAAACCAGAGGCCCAAATTGTCCCCTTTCCACTGAGATGGTCTTGTAATAGACCAGATATGGACTGCATGGTAGCTCTGCTCCAAGACCCCACAGCCTGGGGTAATAAATCATGTCAAACACTTTCTCTGCTATTCCCTGAGGTCCAGCATCCTGCGGGTCAGCCCCCGAAGGCCATTCAGCCTCCATCTTCTGGGACCAAATTTGCTTCGTGTCTCTCACAACAGGGAGAAAACCTGGCTTTCCTTGGAAACCTGACAGGATGCAGTGAGGTCAAGCACTTCCAAGAGCTAACCCATCAGTCCTCCCTTATCCATCCCCGAGCAGATGTATGGTGGTATTGTGGTGGACCTTTGTGGGAGACTCTGCCAAATAACTGGAGTGGTACTTGCACTCTAATTCAATTGGCTATCTCTTTCACCCTGGCATTTCATTCACAAAAAAAATTAACAACTAGGCATCGTAGTACAAGAACTGTTCCTGTGAGTCTTTTGATCCCAACGTTTATATAGATGCTATTGGAGTACCAGATGAATTTAAAGCTTGAAACCAAATAGCTGCAGGATTTAAGTCATTATTCAGGTGGGTGACTATCAATAAAAATATAGATTGGATAGCCAGGCGCAGTGGCTCACGTCTGTAATTGCAGCACTTTGGGAGGCCAAGGCGGGCAGATCACGAGGTCAGGAGTTTGAGACCAGCCTGACCAACATAGTGAAACCCTGTCTCTACTAAAAATACAAAAATTAGCTGGGTGTGGTGGCACGCACCTATAATCCCAGCTACTCAGGAGAGTCACTTCAACCTGGGAGTTGGAGGTTGCAGTGAGCCGAGATCACACCACTGCACTCCAGCCTGGGCGACAGACTGAGACTCCATCTCGAAAAATAAAAAATGTAGGTTGGGTAAATTATATTTACTACAATCAGCAATGATTCATTTTTTTTATTTATTTTTATTTTTTTTAGCATTTATTGATCATTCTTGGGTGTTTCTTGGAGAGGGGGATTTGGCAGGGTCATAGGACAATAGTGGAGGGAAGGTCAGCAGATAAACATGTGAACAAGGGTCTCTAGTTTTCCTAGACAGAGGACCCTGCGGCCTTCTGCAGTGTTTGTGTCCCTGGGTACTTGAGATTAGGGAGTGGTGATGACTCTTAACGAGCATGCTGCCTTCAAGCATCTGTTTAACAAAGCACATCTTGCACCGCCCTTAATCCATTTAACCCTGAGTGGACACAGCACATGTTTCAGAGAGCACAGGGTTGGGGGTAAGGTTATAGATTGACAGCATCCCAAGGCAGAAGAATTTTTCTTAGTACAGAACAAAATGGAGTCTCCCATGTCTACTTCTTTCTACACACAGTAACAATCTGATCTCTCTTTCTTTTCCCCACATTTCCCCCCCTTCTATTTGACAAAACTGCCATCGTCCTCATGGCCCGTTCTCAATGAGCTGTTGGGTACACCTCCCAGACGGGGTGGCGGCCGGGCAGAGGGCTCCTCACTTCCCAGATGGGGCGGCCGGGCAGAGGTGCCCCCCGACCTCCCAGACGGGGGAGTGGCCGGGTGGAGGCGCCCCCAACCTCCCTCCCAGACGGGGCAGCTGGCCGGGCAGGGGCTGCCCCCCAACCTCCCTCCCGGACGGGGTGGCTGGCCGGGCGGGGGCTGACCCCCCACCTCCCTCCCAGACGGAGTGGCTGGCCTGGCGGGGGCTGACCCCATTAATTGCACAAGGGATGCTATGAGGGAATAGCTGAGCAACTAGGACCCACCAGTCAGATGACTTGGGAAAATAGAACAGCACTAGACATGATACTAGCAGAAAAAGGCAAGGTTTGTGTTATGATTGGAACTCAATGTTGTACTTTTATCCTTAATAATACTGCCCCTGATCGAACTATAATAAAAGCACTACAAGGTCTTACTGCTTCATCAAATGAACTAGCTAAAAACTCTGGAATAAATGATCCTTTCACTAGCTTAATGGAAAGGTGGTTTGCTAAGTGGAAAGGACTCATGTCCTCAATTCTCACCTCACTGGCTCTCATAATCAGTGTACTTATCCTTGTAGAATGTTGTATTATATCTTGCATTCGTGGATTAGTGCAAAGGCTTATAGAAAAGGCTCTTACCAAAACCCCTTTCAATTCTCCTCACCCTTACTCAGATAAGTTGTTCTTTCTAACTGATTAAGAAGAGCAACAAAATCAAGATATGTTAAGGAGATTTGAAGAGGAAGAACTGTAAAATTAAGAGGGGGAAACTGTAAAGAATAAAAGTACCTCTCCAAAGTTTTCCTTTTTGGTTAAGAATGATAAGTGTTAAGAAGATAGTTCCTCAGCCGGGTGCAGCGGCTCACACCTGTAATCCCAACACTTTGGGAGGCCGAGGCAGGCGGATCATGAGGTCAGGAGATCGAGACCATCCTGACTAACATGGTGAAACCCTGCCTCTACTAAAAAAAAAAAAAGAAAACAGGAAAAAAAAAATTAGCTGGGCGTGGTGGCACGTGCCTGTAATCCGAGCTACTCGGGAGACTGAGGCAGGAGAATCGCTTGAGCCCAGGAGGCAGAGGTTGCCGTGAGCCTAAATTGCGCCACTGCACTCCAGTCTGGGCTACAGAGTGAGACTCTGTCTCAAAACAAACAAACAAAAAACAAACAAAAAAAGAAGATAGTTCCTCTTAAAAATCCTTCTTTAAGTTTCCCTTACTCTTCATACTAACAAATCTTCTAATTTACTAATGACTCTTTATTGTGCTCCAAGTAGTTGTTACATACAGTAAAGAAATAAACACATTCTATGTTCTTGTACTTGAACCAAGGCCTAACTCCTAGTCTGCCTGATCTGACCAGACATGCCCAGACATGTCCCAGCTTGCAGCCTATGCTCTTGCCTTATTTGGAAATCTTATTGTCTTCCTGGTTTCCCATAAGTGACCCCCTCCTTTCCTTTGTTCCCCATTGCACCTTTACCTTATTTAGGAAAGTTAAAGTTTTTAGCCAACTGGGATCAGTTTAGACTGTGCGGTCCAGCTCCAGCCAATGGAGACAGGACACAATAGTAGAAACAACTTGCGTTAGGAATAAAAACCCCGGCTTTCCCTTGTTATGGGTGCTCTTGTGGCAATCAGGCTTATGGGTAGCACCCTTCTGCAGAAGTAAAAATTGCCTTGCTGAGAAATCCTTTGTTCAAGTGCTCATTTTCTTTGTGACTTCGAGCTTTATTTCTAACAGGCTCAAACAAAATCAGAAAAGAAAAGAGAAACATTACAACTGATATTGCAAAAGTACAAAAGACCATCAGAGACTATTATGAACAATTGTGTACTGACAAACTGGAAAACCTGGAGGAAATGGATAAATTCCTGGAAACAAACAACCTGCCAAGATTACATTAGGAAGAATAGAAAACCTGAAGCCCTAACATACATGAACCATTCTCACAGTGGTTCCAGTGGGCCCCTGACCACTCTGTGATTATTTCCTCAGTGCTTGTTTGCATAATTGAAATAGACCTACTCAGCAATAGGCAAAATCCACAGATCAGTTCCTTTTTTTAACTTTTATTTTCAGTTCAGGGGTACAAGTGCAGGCTGTTTTACAGGTAAACTTGTGTTGTGGGAGTTTGGTACACAGATTATTTAATCACCCAGGTTTTAAGCCTATTACCCATTAGTTATTTTCCCTGATCCTCTTCTTCCTCCCACCCTCCACCTTCTGAAAGACCCCAGTGCCCAGTGTGTGCTATTCCCCTCTATGTCTCTATGCATTCTCATCATTTAGCTCCCACTTATAAGTGAGAACATGCAGTATTTGGTTTTCTGTTTCTGCATTAGTTTGCTAAGGATAATGGCTTCCAGCTCCATCCATGTCCCTGCAAAGGACATGATCACATTCCTTTTTCTGGCTGCATAGTGTTCCATGGTATACATGTATCACGTTTTCTTTATCCAGTCTATAATTGGTGGGCATTTAAGTTGATTCCATGTCTTTGCTATTGTGAATAGTGCTGCAATGAACATATGTGTGCCTATGTCTTTATAATAGAATAATTTATATTCCTTTGGGTAGAATGGTATTTCTCTCTTTAGGTCTTCAAGAAATCACCACACTGTCTTCCACAATGGCTGACCTAATTTGCACTTCCACCAAGAGTATATAAGTATTCCTTTTTCTCCACAACTTTGCCAGCATCTGTTATTTTTTGACTTTTTAATAATAGCCATTCTGACTGGTGTGAAATGGCATCTCATTGTGGTTTAGATTTGCATTTCTCCAATCATCAGTGATGTTGAGCATTTTTCATGTTTGTTGGCTGCATGTATGCCTTCTTTTGAGAAGTGTCTGTTTATATGCTTTGCCCACTTTTTAATGGGGTTGTTTTGTTTTTTCTTGTAAATTTGTTTAAATTCCTTATAGATATTAGACTTTTGTCAGATGCATAGTTTGCAAAAAATTTTCCCCCATTCTGTAGGTTGTTTACTCTGTTGATAGTTTCTTTTGCTGTGCAGAGCTCTTTAGTCGAATTAGATCCCATTTGACAATTTTTGCTTGTGTTGCACTTACTTTTGGCATCTTTGTCATGAAATCATTGCCCATACCTATGTCCTAAATGGTATTGCCTAGGTTGTGTTAGGGTTTTTACAGTTTTGGATCTTACATTTAAGTCTTTAATCCATTTTGAGGTGATTTTGGTATATGGTGTAAGAAAGGGGTTCCATTTTAATCTTCTGCATATGGCTAGCCAGTTATCCCAGCACAATTTATGAATAGGGAATCCTTTCCCCATTGCTTGTTTTTGTCAGGTTTGTCAATGATCATAGTTGTGTGTGGTCTTATTTCTGGGTTCTCTATTCTGTTCCATTGGTCTATATGTCTATTTTTGTACCAGTACCATGCTGTTTCGGTTACTGTAGCCTTGAAGTATAGTTGAAATCAGGTAGCATACACTGGACGTGGTGGCTCATGCCTGTAATCCCAGCACTTTGGGAGGCAGAGGCAGGTGGATCATGAGGTCAGGAGTTTGAGACCAGTCTGGTCAACAAGGTGAAACCCTGTCTCTACTAAAGATACAAAAAATTAGCTGAGCGTGGTGGCATGTGCCTGTAATCCCAGCTACTCAGGAGGCTGAGAAAAGGAGAATCACTTGAACCCAGGAGGCAGAGGTTGCAGTGAGCCAGGATCACACAATTGCACCCCAGCCTGGATGACAGGGTGAGACTCCATCTCAAAAAAAAAAAAATAATAATCAGGTAGTGTAATGCCTCCAGCTTTGTTCCTTTTGTTTAGGATTGCCTTGGCTATTCAGGCTCTTTTTTGGTTCCAGGTGAATTTTAAAATAGTTTTTTCTAGTTCTGTGAAGAATGTCAGTGGTAGTGGCCGGGAACAGTGGCTCACGCCTGTAATCCCAGCACTTTGGGAGGCTGAGGCAGGGGATCATGAGGTCAGGAGATGGAGACCATCCTGGCTAACGGGGTGAAACCCCATCTTTACTAAAAGTACAAAAAATTAGCCCAGCATGGTGGCGGGTACCTATAGTCCCAGCTACTCGGGAGGCTGAGGTAGGAGAATCGCTTGAACCTGGGAGGCGGAGGTTGCAATGAGCCGAGATCACACCACTGCACTCCTGCCTGGGTAACAAGAGTGAAACTCTATCTCAAAACAAAAAACAAACAAACAAAAAAACCTCCTGAATTCGTTGATCTTTTGAGTGGTTTTTCATGTCTCTGTCTCCTTCAGGAGACAATACCTTTGTTAATTTTTTATTATTATGTCTTGTCTTCTGCTAGCTTAGGGATATGTTTGCTCTTTGTTCTCAAGTTCTTTTGGTTGTGATTTTAGGTTGTTAACTTGAAATCTTTCTAACTTTTTGATGTGGGCATTTAATGCTATAAATTTCTCTCTTAACACTGCCTTAGCTGTTTCCCAGAGATTCTGGTACATTGTATCTTTGTTCTAATTATTTTCAAAGAACTTCTTGATTTGTGCCTTAATTTCATTATTTACCCAAAAGTCGTTCAAGAACAGGTTATTCAATTTCTATGTAATTGTATGGTTTGAGTGAATTTCTTAGTCTTTATTTTGAATCTGATTGCATTGTGGTCCAAGTGACTATTTGTTATGATTTCAGTTCTTTTGCATTTGCTGAGGAGTGTTTTACTTCCAATTGTGTGATCGATTTTAGAGTAAGTGCCATGTGACAATGCAAAAAATGTATATTCCATTGCTTTGGGGTGAAGACTTCTGTAGATATTTATCAGGTCCATTTGATGCAGGGCTGAGTTCAGGTCCTGAATATCTTCGTTAATTTTCTGTCTTAATAATCTGTCTAATATTGTCAGTGGAGTATTAAAATCTCTTACTATTATTGTGTGAGATTCTAAGTCTCTTTCAAGGTCTCTAGGAACCTACTTTATGAATGTGGGTGTTCCTGTATAGGATGCATATATATTTCAGATAGTTAGATCTCCTTGTTGAATTGAACCCTTTACCATTATGTAATGCCCTTCTTTGTCTTTTTTTATCTTTTTTGGTTTAACGCCTGTTTTGTCAGAAACAATGGTTGCAACCCTGGCTTTTTTTCTGCTTTCCATTTGCTTGGTAAATTTTCTTCCATCTTTTTATTTTGAGCCTATGTGTGTCATTGCATGTGAAATCGGTGTATTGAAGACAGCATACTGATAGGTCTTGGTTCTTTATCCAGCTTGCCACTCTATGTCTTTTAAATGGGGCATTTAGCCCATTTACATTTAGGGTTAGTATTGATATGTATGGATTTGATCCTGTCATCATGATGTTAACTAGTTACTTTGAAGACTTGCTTATGCAGTTGTTTTATTGTGTCACTAGTCTGTGTACTTCATTGTGTTTTTGTAGTGACTGGTAACTGTCTTTCCATGTTTAGTGCTTCCTTCAGGAGTTCTTGTAATGCAGGTCTGGTAGTCATGAATTCCCTTGGCATTTGTTTGCCTGAAAAGAATCTGATTTCTCCTTTGCTTATGAAGCTTAGTTTGGTTGGATATGAAATTCTGGGTTGGAAACTCTTTTCTTTAAGAATGTTGAATATTGGCCCTCAATCTCTTCTGGCTTATAGGATTTCCACTGAGAGATCCACTGTTAGTCTGATGGGCTTCCCTTTGTAGGTGATCTGGCCTTTCTCTCTGGATACCCTTCTTATTTTTTCTTTCATTTTAACCTTGGAGCATCTGATGATTATTTATCTTGGGGATGATCTTCTAATGGAGTAACTTACTGGGGTCCTCTGCATTTCTGAATTTGAATGTTGGCCTGTCTAGCTAGGTTGGGGAAGTTCTCATGGATCATATCCTGAAATGTTTTCCAAATTGATTCCATTCTCCCCATCTCTTTCAGGTACACCAATCATTCATACATTCAGTTTCTTTACATAATCCCATGTTTTTCAGATGTTTTGTTCATTCCTTTTCATTATTTTTTCTCTAGTCTCATCTTCTTGTCTTATTTCAGAAAGCCAGTCTTCAAGCACTGAGATTCTTTTCTCCACTTGCTCTATTCTGCTATTAATACTTGTGAGTGCACTATGAAATTCTTATAGTGTGTTTTTCAGCTCTGTCAGGTTGGTTATCAAATTCTTTCGCTGATTTCTTCTCATCTTTATGGGCTTATCTACCCTCAATGTTTGAGGTTGCTGACCTTTGAGTGGATTTTTTTTTTCTCTTCTTTTGTTTTCTCTTTTAACATTCTGGCCACTTTTCTGCAGGGCTGCTACAGTTTGCTGGGGGCCTGCTCCAGTCCCTAGTTGCCTCAGATTTTCCAGTACCTGAAGGTATCACCATTGAAGGCTATGTAACAGGAAAGATGGCAGTCTGCCCCTTCTTCTGGGAGGTCTGTTCCAGGAAAAGTACAGACATGTTGCCAGCCTGAACACACCTGTAGGAGGTGCTGGAGACCCTGGTTGGGAGATCTTGCCCAGTCAGGAGGAACAGGATCAGGATCTAGAGGTTTACAAAAGGAGGAATGATCCTACAGGAGACACAGAAATGAACCATTCAGCTGGAAGCTAAGACAGCCACCTGGGCCCTTCAGCTCCTCATGATTCTGAATCAACAAAGGAAGGAGTTACTGCACTGTCTGGGGTGATTGGTCCTGGTCATCAGGGGGAATTGGTCTGCTACTACACAATGGCAGTAAATAGGACTATGTCTGGAACACAGGAGGTCTTTTAGAGCATCTCTTAGTAATACTCTGCCCTATAATTAAAGTCAATAAAAACTACAACAACCTAAGTCAGGTAGGACTACTAATGACCCATACCCTTCAGGAATGAAGGTTTAAGTCATCCAAGCAGGAAAAGAAACCTGATCAGCTGAGGGACTTGCTGAAAGCAATGGGAATATGGGATGGTTAGTGAAAAACAACAAAAAAAAAGTATTTATAAATACTAGTTGTGGCCAGCACAGTGGCTCATGCCTGTAATCCCAGCACTTTGGGAGGCTGAGGCAGGTGGATTGCTTAAGTCTAGGAATGTGAGACCAACCTGAGCAAAATGCTGAAACTCCATCTCTACTGAAAATAAATACAAAAAATTAGTCAGACTTGGTGGTGTGCTTGTAGTCCCAGCTACTTAGGAGGTTGAGGTAGAAGGATCACTTGTGCCCAGGAGGTGGAGGTTGCAGTGAGCCAAGGTAATGCCACTGCACTCCATCCTGGGCAACAGAACAAGACCCTGTCTCAAATAAATAAGTAAGTAAATAAATAAATAAATAACCAGCTGTAACCATGTGAGCACTTACAGAAATAAAGACAGTAAATGTTATCAGCATTACTTCTTTATGTTTTTATAATGATATTTATGTCTGTGTGTATGTATCCATACATGTATTGAGCAAATACCTTTCTTTTCATCTTTTCCTGATCATCTGTAATAAAACATAAGATGTGCTAACAATAATTCCCTTTTATTAATGAAAGTTTAACTTTTATTACACATGGTATTTGGGTTACAGTACATCAAAGAGAAGAGTGCATATCATGCATTCAGTTTGAATCTGAGGCAGGCAGATCACAAGGTCAGGAGATCGAGACCATCCTGGCTAACATGGTGAAACCCCATCTCTACTAAAAATACAAAAAATTAGCCGGGCATGGTGGCGGGCGCCTGTAATCCCAGCTACTCGGGAGGCTGAGGCAGGAGAATGGCCTAAGTAAATCTGGGAGGCGGAGCTTGCAGTGAGCCGAGATCTCGCCACTGCACTCCAGCCTGGGCGACAGAGCGAGACTCCATCTCAAAAAAAAAAAAAAAAAAAAAAAAATATATATATATATATATATATATATATTTATACATATATGTATCTTATTAACTTCAAGAGTGTTCTAATCATTTGTATTTTCTGCATTCAGCATATTACCATTTGCAAATTATAAGAGTTTTGTGCCTTCTTTTCAAACCTTTTTAAGTATATTTCTTTTCTTCTTTATGACACTGGGAAGATCCTCAATTACAATTTTTAATAAGAGCAGTGAAAACTGCTGGACCACTCAAACAAAAATTGAGCTGCCACTCCTGAGAACTGACTGTGTTGCTCTTATGGATCAGCCCTTTGGGACCCATCCTAATCCCAGGGATTTACAGTGCCACATATGCACCCACAGCCTTTAGATGTAGACTTTATCCACCTAGCCCTCAAAGGTCTCAGACACTGCCCAGAGCAGCCAACATCACCCAGGACAAAAGCAACCCTGCAGCTCAACTTGCTCTTCTAGATTTCTGCCTTCTCCTGGTTCCTGGCCTGGCAAATCTTTACTGCTTGGTTAGCCCCTTCATACTTTCCATCAGATTTTTCAAATATGTACCCTTTTCCCACTTGTCCAGTAGTACTCAATGGGAGGGATGATCCAAATTACATAATTAATAATTGCTGAAAACTAAAGTACAATGTACAATTTTTATGTCAATGTCACATGCCAAGGGAGAAAATGCATAGGTATCAGTAGTGACTACTTAAGCATGTGTAACTTAGAGGTAATAAAAACAAAAATGTTAGGTAATATCTATCTATTCCAGATTAAAATCTACATCAATAAATTCAAACTTCTAGGAAAAATATCTGCATATGTAATATATGACTGTGACTCCGATAGACGAACGTGGGAATATAGTATGAAGATACTTCTCATCGTCTTCACTCTGTGAGGCAGTCAGTGTGAAATGAGAACCAGGGATTCAAAATGTGTTGCAAGACTATGAAAAGCACTAGAGTAAGTTCTACACAAATAAAGCAATCTCCTCATAAATTACACTGGGCTTATCTGTGAGATGCATGTCCTTATCAAAATGGAGTTAATTCTAGGTAGGTGATCTTGTTTAAATAAAATGGACTCTGACTCACTAGCTACTGGTCCACCATCGGTTTTTCCCTTTACTAAAAGGGAGGCCCCACACTGAGCCAGCATTTCCCAAGAGGAGGTCTCTTGCTGACATCAACTTCCAACAGGGTAAATTTTCATGGGAACCCAAAGAGAAGAGGAAGACCTCAAGAAAAAGGGCCTAAAGAAATGACAAGAATGATAACATTTTACACTTTTATTGTGCTATGTGTCAAATAGTGGTCTTCGCACTTTAAAAATGCCAATTCATTTTATTCTGACTACACATCCATGGCTTGTGCCTGTTATTTTTCCCTTTCATAGTTAATGCCATAGGAATGAAGATCACACAAAAGTAGGGATGGAGCCGGGTTTGCACCCAGACAATTCTGCCCCAGGGCCATGCTCACACCACTGCACTTTTCCAGAATGTGAGGGTGGGCGGAGAGTCCAGCTCAGGGAGAGAGATTGGAGTGAGAGAAGAAGGAGAGGGGGCCGACTGGATCACTGTGATGGTCTGGACCCACGATTCCAGGAGAGAAAGACAAGGATTATGTCACTCAGGGAAAATATCCAAAGTCTCTGGTTTAAACTTAAGCATCTCCAGCTCTAGGACAGGTGGCTGGTGGGAAGACAAACTAAGCCAAAGCCACAGCTCTGAAGATTTCCCTCTCCTGAGAATTCTGCAGGGGTTTCCCTGACCTCATGGCCACCTCTCACCCTTGGCTCTTGTTTTTCCCCCAGGACTGATAAGGGCGTCCAGATGGGACGCCTTTATCAGTTGGTCTCGGGTTCTAGAGAAGCCATCAGAGTCAGTGGAGGATGAGCTTCATAAAGTGGGAGATCTCCAGGATCCTTCCTGGACTCCAAGATACCCAGAGAAGCCGGATCCTGTGTCCCGGAACCCCCTTCCTGTTCCTCTGTGGGCCCTGACCTTGGGGAGAACTGGGCTGGTGAGAAGATCAGGATGAACTGGGCTGGGGAGGCAAGAGGGAAAGGGCGGCTTGGAGGGCTTAGTAGCTCCTCTCGCGGCGCCTCCGTCCCGGGCTGGGATCTGCAGACTCCTCAGGTCACTTCTCCCAGAGCCGCCGCCCCAAGCCACCCTCCCCTGGTTCCCGTCCCTCTGTCCCCTCCCCAGCTCCCCCCACACAGTAAGAAGCTCCCAAGTGAGCGGCTCCGGTGCCGGGCGGGACGTGGGAGGGAGGCTGTGTCCCCGCGGGGAGGCAGGGCGACGGCGTCCAGGAGAGAGGGGAGCGGGGCGGGGTCCCAGGCACCCTGCGCCTCTTCCGCCCGCAATGTGCGGGTTCCCGGAGCCCAGGCCCGCACCCCGGGTACTTGAAGGCCGCCGGGCTCCGCCTTCACCACGTGGGCCCTGAGTTCCTCCGCGGCGCCTTCGTGGGCGACACGCGATTCCTGAGCTTCCACAGCCGCGGCGAGAATCAGAGCGTGAAGCGCGGGTGGAGAAGATGGCACAGGGCTGTGGGCGCCCTGAGGAAAGTTCTCGAAGACCGCAGGGAATGTGTTACTGAGGGGCCTGAGGTTCCTGGGCCCGCACCACCACCAGGGTCAGCCGGTGAGTGACCTCAGATTCCGGGCACAGGTGTGCCCCGCCCCGACCCCAGAGTGACCAGCCCGGTTCTCCCAGGGATGGGGGGGCGGGGCCTCAGCTGATCCCTCTCAGGTGGGGAAGCGCTGGGGCCATTTTGCTCCAGGTTTCTCCTTCAATCTGGATCATGACTGACTTGTTCTGTGACCAATGACAGAGGGAGGAAGGAGCTGGGGTGGGCGGGGCGACCTCCCTCCCCTCCCTGGCCCCGCCTCCGGCTCACCCTGGGGCAGGTCCAGGGCACCGCACCTGCAGATGCTGCTGTCTGGCTGGGTGGTGGCTCCGGACAGGAGCTTCCTCGAAGGACACTTTAAGTCCGCCTACGACAAGGAGATTTCATGTCCCTGAACGAGGACCTGCAGACCTGGACAGCGGCTCAAAGAGCGGCTTGGAGGATCCATCACACCTGGGAGAGGTTCTGGACCGCGGAGGCCACAAGGGAAGCCCCGATGGGTCACTGCACTAGGTGGCTGCTCAGACACCTGGAGCATGGCAAGGAGATGATGCTGCCGGCAGGTACTGGGGTCCTCCAGGCCCCACGTCAGGACCTCTTGGAGCTGGAATTATGTTCCTTGGAGGCATCCATATTTGAGGAAAGAGGAGACCGAACAGTCTCCGTCTCCTCCTCCTCCTCCTTCTCCTCCTCCGTCGCCGCCTCCTCCTCCTCCTCCCTACTGCGGGGTTGGGGATTCTGGCCCAGGCTCCTGAGGCTCTCCCATGGGTGGGTGGGGAGGGAGGACAGAGAAGAAGGAGTGCAGGGAGGTAAATAGGAAAGGACAGTAGTTACCCTTGTCAACAGTGATGTACTTGGGTCCAGCTTCACCGGGAATCTTTTTCTTTCCTGGCCCTCTGTGCCCAACAATTACATATAATCTTTAACCCAACCAGAAGATAAAACACCAGGAAACGGAATCGGCAGAGACACAGTAGATGAAAGTACCACGAAGGACTGCTAGGTTCTAATAGAAAGTAGCAGATGTGAGTATCAAAAGTTATAAACCTTTTTGCAAATCAGAAAAGAAACAGACTTTTTTTTTTTTTTTTTTTTTTTTTTTTTGAGACGGAGTCTCTCTCTGTCACCCAGGCTGGAGTGCAGTGGCGCGATCTCAGCTCACTGCAAGCTCCGCCTCCCAGGTTCACGCCATTCTCCTGCCTCAGCCTCCCGAGTAGCTGGGACTACAGGCGCCCGCCACTACGCCCGGCTAATTTTTTGTATTTTTAGTAGAGACGGGGTTTCACTGTGTTAGCCAGGATGGTCTCGATCTCCTGACCTCATGATCCGCCCGCCTCGGCCTCCCAGAGTGCTGGGATTACAGGCGTGAGCCACCGCGCCTGGCCAAAAAAGACATTTTAAGACTGAAAAGTGGTATCACCAATGTTAGAACCAAAAAACTGGACCTGAGGGTGCATCACCCGAGGGGGTTAAGTTAAACTCTGTCCCTGTTCCTTCTAGAGCCCCGTGGAGATTCCTGCTGTGCAGCAAAGCCTGGGAGGGGCCCTTGGCTGTGGAAGGCAGGCTGAGACGTCATAAGTGAGATAGGAGGAAGGGGACCTGCTGGACTCCCGGAGGCCTGGTACCCAGGGAAGGCCAGTTCCTAGGGCTGCCTCTGGACTTCAGAACCTTGATGTTAAGTCAGATTTTCCCGCTCCTCCATGAGCTTCCAGGAGCAGGGCCACATGGGGCTCAGAAAGTCCCACAGTGCCTGGGAAGTGGGTCTGTCTCTTGTGGGACAAAAATTCTCAGGTCTTTCTCTTTCAGATTCTTAAATTTCTTAAAAGAGATTGAACTGGAATTACCCAGGCCCCAAACTGAATCAAGGAATTGGGACTGTGTAATGTGTGTGTGTCTGTCTGTGCACATGTGGATGTATAAACAGGTATGGGCATCTATGTGTATGTGCGTGTTTATAAGTGCGTATATGTATGTATCTGTACATATTTATGTATATAAGCAGGTATGGGTATGTATGTGTGTATGTGTGTGTGTTACTCTGTGACTTCCTCATACTTGGCACCACCCTGGCCTTTTCCTGGTTGCCCCCCACACCATAGGTTGTAGGGGACAGAACAGCGCTCCACCTGCAGGCATAGAACGGGGGTCAGGATAAGTGTTGGGGAGAGCTGGTTTCATCACACCTGGAATAAGGAAACAGGACCTAAATGGATGGGTCCCACTCTTTTACAGAATTGTACCTTAAAAAAAGTGTCAGTCACGTTCCTAAGGGATTTACATGAATTAAATCATTTAAACCTCACAAGAGCCCTATGACCTAGAGACAGCTATCAGCCCCATTTTACAGACAAGGAAACTGAGGTCACTAGGAAGTTTAGTAACTGTCAATGGGCTGACTCATGACTCTAAGGAGACAGTCTGACTGCTGAGCCCAAGTAACTGCTCTGTCATACTCACCCTCACACCCACCTACTACTGGCTCCCTGTGGGTCACCTCCTCCTGTGGGCTCTGACCAGCTTCCCTTTCTTCTCCAGGCACAGAGACTGGACTGAAGTCTATTGCATTTGCCACAGTCCCGACTGGGGAGTCATGGGGTTGAAGTGACCCATAGGCTGATGGAGTGTGCTTGCTGGATGCGGGGGAAAGGGAGATTTATATCTGCCCTGGAGGGAGTCAATGGTGTTTGCATCATGGCATATGAGGTGCACTATCTAGAATGCTGAAGGGTAAAGACCAGCAGGGGCCATGCAGAGTCTATTCATCACGGTTTTATTTCACAGCCTGCATGGGCCTGAGAGTGGTGGGGTGTTCACTCATCTCCATCCAATCCCTACTGGTTCCTGACCTCTCTTCTTCCAACTGGTAATACCTGCACTCAAGGTTGAACCATGAGGAGGAGTCTACCCACACCCCACACTTCCTCCTCTCTGCCTGCCACTCCCTAGTGGGGCCTCCTGGATGGTGTGAGAGGAGAGTGACGGAGATAGTAAGAGAACTTGACATTCACACTGGTAAAGAGAAAGTGGGATGTCAACCTATGAGAAAGATAAGGGCTGCCACAGGGAAGGGGATGAGATAAGTTCTAACTGGCCCCAAGGGTCGCTTAACTCAGTGAAAGCTGTGGGAGGTGTTTTCAGCTATCCATTGCTATGTAAGAAATTGCCACAAACTTAGCAGCTTACAACAACACACATGTATTATCCCACATTTCTATGGGTCAGGAATCCAGACACAGCTATGCAGCTTTCTCACATGATTTTCATCAGAGTGCCATGGCTGGGTCTTATCTGGAGGCTGAACTGGGGAAGGATCCACTTCCAAGCTCAAGCAATTGTTGGCAGGATTCATTCCTCCATGCCTGTTAGACTGACAGCCTCAGTTCCTTACTGGCTGGTGGCCAGAGGCTGACTTCAGTTCCTTGCCACATGGGCCTTTCTGCTTCATCAAAACTTGCAAACAAAGAAGGTAGAAGACAGAGTCATCTAGTAATACAGAAGTGCGGCTGTAATATGACCTCATCACGGAAGTGACATCATTTTTGTCACTTTCTATTGGTTAGAAGCAAGTTTAGGCCCCATCGGTTCTCAGCTGGATGAGATGCCAAGAGACAGGATCACCGGGCATCATCTTAGGGTCTCTATACACAGGCTGGACCATGACTGAACAAGATCATTACAAACCCGGGTCCTGGACTGGGCCAGATGATCTGCAGAGCTGAGCTGTGTTTATGAAATCGAATCCCTGGAAACAAAAATCAAGAGACGCCCACTGGAAAGGCTGGTCTTGCATTCTGTGTGAAAGCTAAGATGGCGTTCTCTCCAAATGTTTTTCTCTATTACTTTTCAAACCTCCTGCATCTGTAAAGAAGCAACACCACTAAACCTATCTGGTTTTTTTTTCATTCGAGTGTCATACTGTTAGGCAAATCTTCTGCTTTCACTATTTCTTCAAGCTTGTTTTCATGCAGAATCCCACGAACTTCTGGTAATTACACTTTATTGATTTCTTTTCCTTCACTCAGTTTATTTTTTAGTGATTTTATTTCTCTTGTATGGATAAATTAGTCCATTTAATTAGGGAATTTGTGTCTTCTAAAGAAATATTTCTACTATTTTTTGGACCATATGGGCTAAGATCCTCTTGCCAAGCCTCAGCTCACTTCCCACATGGACACGACAAAATTACTGGGGGTCCTAGAAAGTCGGGGATTGGCATAGTTCTTAAGCAGGATCAGACATGTAAGTCACAAAGATATGAGGCAGATACCTTTGATTTCCTTATGACCCTGATGACAGCATACCTGGCACTCAATACCTGTCTGTAGAGGTGAACTCAACTAAACTCCTCCCTGATCACTCAATACCATGTGAGCCCAAGGACCTCTTATGTCATGGGCCAAATTCCCTTGTTTTATGTCATTTTTCCAGATGGAGTGCTGTTCACATGGGGACCTTTCTCCTTTTCCACCTCATTTTCCATGTGTGAAACACTGGGTCTTGATTACTCAGATCTCTCAGGGTCCTTTCTACCTTTTCCTCCATCCTAACATTCTCCCTACAGTTCCCGCCAGGGTTTCCCCGAACCTCTTCTTCTCCATGTATTCAGTCTAGCATCTCTCAGGTCATTCTTCACACTTCACCAAAGTGATATTCTGGAATGCAGATCTGATCAAGGTTCTTCCTGACTTCAGTGCTGCCAGTGCTGCACATTGTCCTCGGATAAAAGCCAAAGGTTCTCCCCAACCCCACAAGCCTTAGTCATTGAATCTGCTCACTGCTCCAAGCTTGCTTTTTGCCCCTGTGCTCCTCTTTCTCTAATCTCTACCCTGAACTGCTGACAGTTCCCCCAGACTCCCTGTGTGTTCTTTCTTCTGAGCCTTTGTTTGTGATACTGATTCCCTAAAAGATTTCTCCTGCCATTCACCTGGATTAACTGTGTTCCTCATCCAGTTCTCTGTTTAGACATTGCATCCTCTTGGAAGCAGTTTTCCCGCACTAATTATAGTAGCCTGCATTTAGCTGTTTTTTTAGTCCCCTTGTGGAATCTTTGATGTTTCACTCATTGAGGCCTAGGAGACCCTGACACATAGTAACTGCCTAATAAATGTTTGCTAGATAAATGTGAGGTTCACCATGAGATACCACGTTATACATGCAAGAATGGCATTAATTTGGCTGGGCGCGGTGGCTCAAGTCTGTAATCCCAGCACTTTGGGAGGCCAAAGCAGGCAGATCACGAGATCAGGAGATCGAAACCATCCTGGCTAACACGGTGAAACCCTGTCTCTACCAGAAATACAAAAAATTATCTGGGCGTGGTGGCATGCACCTGTAGTCCCAGCTACTCGGGAGGCTGAGGCAGGAGAATTGCTGGAACCTGGGAGGTGGAGGTTGCAGGGAACCAAGATCATACCACTGCACTCCAGCCTGGGAGACAGAGTGAGATTCTGTCTCAAAAAAAAAAAAATGGCATTAATTAAAAAGTCAAAAAACAATAGATGTTGGCATGGATGGATTACACTGCTGGTTGTGAGAATGTAAATTAGTACAACTACTATGGAAAACAGTATGGAGATTCCTTAAAGAACTAAAACTAGATCTATCATTTGATCCAGCAATCCCACTACTGGGTATCTACCCAAAGGAAAATAAGTCATTATATGAAAAAGACACATGCACACACATGTTTATAGCAACACAATTCATAATTGCAGGGATGTGGAACCAGCCTAAGTGCTCATTGACCAACCAGTGGCTAAAGAAAGTGTGGTGTATGTACACCATGGATTACTACTCAGCCATAAAAAGGAATGAAATAATGCCTTATGTAGCAACTTGGATGGAGCTGGAGGCCATTATCCTAAGTGGAGTAACTCAGGAATGGAAAAACCAAATACTGAATGTTCTCACTTATAAATGAGAGCTAAGCTATGAGGACACAAAAACATACAAAATGACATAATGGACTCTAGGGGCTTGTTGGTGGAGGTTGGGAATAGGGTGAGGGATAAAAGTCAACACTGGGTAGAGTACACTGCTCGGGTGATGGTGCACCAAAATCTCAGAATTCACTACTAAAGAACTCACACACATAACCAAAAACTACCTGTCCCCCAAAAACTATTGAAATAAAAAAATTTTTTAGATAAATGTGGGGTTGATTCGTAATTTAAAATTTATTTTGTATAGCTAATACAAGAACAATATTTAAAAGATTATAATAATAAAAATGTGTATAGTGTGCAAAGCAAATTTCGTTCTCCACCCCATCCACAATTCTTCCAAATTCCTTGCCTGGATGCAACCACTGTTACCAGTTTCAGCAAGAAATTAAGACAGAAATTAAAGTTCTGCTCCTCATAATAATCACGATCAATTATCCCTGCTTATACAGTAACCCCTCCTTTTCCCAACAGCCTCCTAGCATGAGGAACCCAAATTGAACAGGTAACAAACATACCCCTAAACGTAATGTAACTTGTACTCTGTTCCATGGTAGGAACTTCCTTCTCTGGGATCCCAAACTCCTAGACCAGCTGAGTACGTTGAGGGGATGGGAAGCACCAACACCCCACGCGGGTTACCGGAAGTGCTGGTGAGTATAGTCATTCCTTCTTCCAGCACTGGTGGTTAGAGACTTACTTACTCTACCTGTTGGAGACTTGGCACTATGTAACAGCTGCTGCCATAGCCTAAGTGTATGCTTCATCCTGAAGGACATTACCCATCCTGATAGGATGTGATCTTCAAGATAAAACCCAGCTGCACCCTCAAGAGACCATTCCACTGCTCTATCAGCTGGCAGCGTGTGTGATGCAGTATGGGGTAGAACCAGGAGATCTCATGGTCGTGTGCCCACTACCAGACAGCGTTCGCTATAAAGTAGGTCCCTTAGTCTGGGGCAATGTTATGTGGTTCCCCTATTAGAAGATCATACATATGTGAGCCCTTAGATAACGTTTCTGAGTGTGGCACTATGGGAAGAAAGAACAAACTCATACCGCTAATACAAGGCAAGCTAAATCTGACAGAACCCCTGCCTTTTTCATTGTGAAAAAGTAAGAGTAGAATCAATTTGCCATCAAATTGCTCATTGGCCTCTATAAGCAAAGGTAATCTGTTGGAGTTTATTTATCGTTGGAAGGTAGGTTGTGACAATAACCACGTCAGCCATGCTGAAGGGAGCCCAAGCCTTGGGACCCACCCACAGTGCATCTCTTCCACCATAGATACTGCTTTCAAGAGCCTGTTTCATGAGCACTGGGATGGTTAAGGACAGAGGCTGGCTGATGTGTACCAAATGATTCATCCTGTACACCTGGTTGTTTAGACTACTTGTATAGAGGGTAATTTTTGCTGAGTATTAACATCTGATACAAAAGATCCAAGCACTTTGTATCTACTGTATGCCTCTTTCCAGATATTCCTGTTCCTGATCTTCCTATCTTGCTCCTTCCAGGCCCCGGACCCGCTATTTAAGCCATTTGCCGTTGCCTATGAGTCTGTGCATGTTCTCACCTCAGGCCACTTCTGTCTACACAAAGTGGGCAAATCAGAGCCCCACCTGCCTATTGGCAGGACCCTCTTCAGCACTGTCTCTGCTCATTCCTGAGTTGCCCACACTGCAGACACACTCTACTGCTGCCTCACACCAACACACTAAGCTGGCATGTTTATGAAGAAGCTCAGAATTTTCCTCTTAAGTCAGCTGGTCATAGAAACTACCCATAAGGTCATTGGTGAGAGTCGAGGTCAAGGCAAATTTCCAGCAGTGTGAGGTGACATGGGGTCTGAGCAATGTCTGTATGTAATTAACATCAGTACTCAGAACATACATACTTTAACCCAGGGGTCAGCCAGTGGTTTCAGTAAAGGCCCAGATGGTTTCCCTTTGCTGTGTGTGTGTTCATTCCCCTCTCCGAAGCTATGTGTAACCCCATAGGGATCACAGGGGTTCCCATCAACCACAGCCAGTTACATCCACAAAAGCCTTGATCCTTGTTAGCAGATGGGAGAGGGTGGCTTGGAGGATTGAAATCCCTACTTCATAGGACTCTGGATACTTACACAGTTGCTTCCTCCTGTGCTTCTACATGAATCTCAGCACTGTATTTAGGACACCGTCTGCACTCTTATTCTTCATGCAATTCTGTTTGCTCCTCAGATGGCCGCTTTTCCTTTGAAGCTCAACAGTGGTCATCACGTACTTGGGCTGAGGGTTACTGGTTAACTCTGTGGGATTCTGGGATCAGTTCCTTCCCATTCTTAGCCATCCCTGTGCTTTACAAAACTTAGCTTCACAATTATACTCATCTCTCTCTGTGTGCACCTCTAAGAAATTACTGATAAAACACTTGAGTTTTTTGAAATTACAAAAATATATACAAGAAAATGTTTATGGGGCCATTGATTAGCATGGAAAAGCATAAACTTTCCTGTTTTCTGCCTCTCATTAGAATTTAATCCCCCAAAATTGAACTCATTCCAAACTTCTGGCTTAACTAGGAGTTGCCGTAGCCAGCCTATTCTAGACAGCATCCTGTAAGCCCCTGGGATTGGCAGACACAAGACCACTTTTTCCATTCATATATGTGGTTCTGTTCTGGCCAGATCAACGGACTTCCAGTGCCCTTCTTGAGTCATACTGAGGTAAATTACTCAGACCACGAACTCACATTTTTAAATAAATAAAATAGCAGCATAGTTAAGAATTTATTTATCCCATTACTGGGCATATACCCAAAGGATTATAAATCATTCTACTATAAAGACACATGCACACATATGTTCACTGCAGCACTATTTGCAATAGCAAAGACTTGGAACCAATCCAAATGCCCATCAATGATAGACTGGATAAAGAAAATGTGGCACATATACACCATGGAATGTTATGCAGCCATAAAAAAGAATGAGTTCATGTGCTTTGCAGAGACATGGATGAAGCTGGAAACAATCATTCTTAGCAAACTAACACAGAAACAGAAAACCAAACACCGCATGTTCTCACTTACAAGCAGGAGTTGAACAATGAGAACATGTGGACACAAGGAGGGAAACATCACATACTGGGGTCTGTCAGGGGATGGGGGCAAGGGGAGGGATACCATTAGGAGAAATACCTAATGCATGCGGGGCTTAAAACCTAGATGATGGGTTGATGGATGCAGCAAACCACTATGGCACATGTGTACCTATATAACCAACCTGTACATTCTGCACATATATCCCAGAACTTAAAAGTATAATTAAAAAAAGAATTTATTTCATTTGTGTAGTCCATTAAATTTTTTGTACATTTTTTAAACCTGCACTTTTCATAGTTTTTGATACATCCTTGCTCCAATAAATAGCTTGCTAAAACTACTAAATCTCATAGATATACCAATGGTTTGCATCATCTAATGGCACATTTGCTTGTCAAACTGAGGTCAGCCAGTCCCCCTTCATTCACTGTTAGTAACTCATGTGTTGCATTGTTAAAAACCCAGTATCACCTCATCTCCCCTCTAGCATCTTCTCTGCAGAGGAGAAGCCAGGCACTATATCTCCCAGGATCCCCTTCCCTGTATAGTTCCAGTTTACATTTTCCAGTGAGAGAGACTTGCCTAAGAAATGGGGCCCTGGAGAGATGGTGGGACAGACCTGTACCCATCAGTGGTGGCTGCAGGTAGAGGAGCAGGCAGATGTCAGGTTCTCAGTGGCTTCCCTGCTAGGCTAGAGACCCACCTGCTTTGCTTGTGTGGACTAAGATGAGTGATAAGAGCTTTCTCATAGGTTCTGGAGAATATAGCAATCTCGCAGCAGGATTCTGAGAACCTCCCATCCATGCTTCAAGCTGAAGTCTTCAGTATATGCTTCCCTGACCTCCCTACTGCAGCTTCCAGGAGCTCCAATGGTGACTGGTATTATTATAGTATCCTGCTGCTGCTATAACAAATTACCACAACTATGTGGCTTAAAACAACACCAATGTATTCTCTTATAGTTCTGGAGGTAAGAAGTCAAAAATGTGTCACTATGGGCTAAAATTAACATGTTGTCAGAGCTGCATTTCTTCTGAGGCTCTAAAGGAAAATCTGTTTCCTCACCCTTTCCAGCTTCTTGGGGCTGCCTGCATTCTTTGGCTTGTGGTCTCTTCCTCCATCTTCCAAGTCAGCAGTCACATCACTTTGACCTCTGATTCTGTTGTCACAGCTCTAACTCTGATGCTGCTTTCTACTCCTTTCACTTATAAGGACTATTGTGATTACATCGAACCTGCCCAGATAATCCAGGATAATCTTCCCATCTCAAGAGCCTCAGCTTAATCACATCTGAAAATTTCCTTTTGCCCTATTAGGAGACATTTTTATAAGTTCCAGGGATTAGGACACAGGCATATTTAGGAGACTGTTATTCTGCCTGTCACATGACTTCACCAATATTTGCTACCCGTGGTTTCCAAACATTAGTGTATGCTCTTATTTCTATTTATTCCTGAAATACCAGAGTGAGTCTGTTTTTCTGAAAACAGCTCACTAATGCCCAGAGGAGCTCAAAAATTTTCTGTCTGTTGTCTCAAAGTCTCCAAATTGTACTGATTCTTCAACGTGCATGGCTGTAAATTAGGCAATAATCTTGCTGGGGTGTTGGAAGGAGAAGAAAGGGAATGATTAGACAGCCCTTCTGATTCGGGACACTGTCCCTGATGGCTGGCCATCTTGGGCTGTAATCCAGTTTCCCTCCCACGTAGACCCGGTCATTTCTGACTCCCCAAGAGGTTTTCACAGTATTCATGTCCACTTCCTTCATCAGTCGTCTTCTTGTCTTATATCTCCATGTTTACATTTTTCTTCTCTTCTACCACTGTAGTTCTGCCTTGATTCTTCAGCCATTGCCTTCCTTTTGCATGCATGTGCTTCAGCCAGTTCTCTAGGAAGACATTCCAGACAGCTCATTATCACTTGTTACTATGTTTATTTGACTGCAGAGCTTTCAAGATTTGTAACTTTCTATTTTTTAAATTTTAGTGTAAAAATAATTCTTGCTCACAGTAGGAAATGAAACAATCAAATTATGCATAAATATACTTTTAAATCTCTCCTTTCACTAAATCCAAACCCACTTAACTAAGGTGATTACTATTGTATCAGCCTACTCTCTGCATGTCTACTTTCTTCACTTGCACGCAAACCATAGTGAGTGTTTTTATCTGGTAGCTTTTGTTGAGCTGTAATGACTATAAGTTTTATATGTAATTTAATCATTTTCAGGGCAACTTGAGATATAATTTAAATAGTATAAAATCTGCACATTCAAAATATACAATTCAGTGGCTTTTAGAATATTCACAGTTGTGCCTCCATTACCACAATCAATTACAGATCCTTTTATCTCCTCCCAGCCCTGCAGAAAAATCCATATCCAAACCCCAGCCCTAAGAAACTACCAACCTATGTTTTAACTCTACAGATTTACCTATTCTGAACATTTTATGTAATGAAATTATACATCATGTGGCCTTTTGTGTCGCCTTCTTTTACTTACCAGAACATTTTCAAAGTTTGTGTGGGTCGTAGCTTGTATCAGTACTTCACATCTTTTTCATCGCTGAATTACATTCCATTGTATGGATATATCACAATTTATTTATTAGTTGGTGACATTTTGGTCCTTCTCATTTGGATTGTGATTAATAATGCTGCTATAAACATGGCATATAGGTTTTTATGTGAACTTATGTTTTCATTTCTCTTGGGTATACTGTATACATAGGAGGGGATTGCTGGGTCATGTAATAACTTAATGTTCAACAATTTGAGCTACTGAGAGCCTGCTTTCTAAAGGGGCTATGTCTCTTAAATCCCCACCAGCAAAGTGTGAGTGTTCTAGTATCTTCACATTCTCATCAACACTAATTATTATCTTTTTAATTATAGCCATTCTAGTGGGTGGGAAATAGTATCTCATTTTTGGGTTGATGTGCATTTCCCTGATGGTTAATGATGTTGAACATGTTTCTATGTGCTTATGGGCCTTTTGTATATTATTTGTCTTATTATTATTATTTTATTATTTATTGTTTATTATTATCTTATTATTAATATTATTATATTGAGTTACAACCATTCTTTATATATTCTAGATACAAGTCCTTTCCTTGCCAGATATAAGATTTGCAAAACTTTTCTCCCATTCAATGAGTTTCTTTTCACTTTCTTGATGATGTCCTTAGACTCACACATTTTTAATTTTGATGATGTTCAATTTATCTTTTATTTCCTCTTTTTGCTTGTGCCTTTGGTATCATTTAAGATCAGGTATTTTTACCTAATCCAAAGTCATGAAGATTTATGCTTATGTTTTCTTCTAAGAGTTCTCTAATGTTAAGTCTCACATTTAGGTCTTTGATACACTTTGAGGTAATTTTTATATGTGGTGTGAAGTAGGGATCCAGCTTTATTCTTTTGCATAGGGATAGCCTGTTGTCTCTGCACTATTTGATGAAAAGATAATTTCTTCCCCTCACTGAATTATATTAGCACTGTTTTCTAAAACCAATTAACCATATAAGTGAAGAGTATTGCTGGGCCCTCAATTTTGTTCTGACTTCATTCTTTTTAATGCTGTTGTAAGTTGGATTTTTTAATAACATTTGTATTACTGCATTGATACTCTATAGAAGCACACTCAATTTTTGTATTTTGATCTTGTAGCCTACCAATGTGCTAAACTCATTTAGTATTAGTGGTTTAGTAGTTGCTAAACTCGTTTTTAGTGAATTCTTTCGTATTTCTATATAAGATTTTATCATCTGCAATTGAGATAGTTTTACCTCTTGTTTTTTAATCTAGATGACTTTTATTTCATCTTATTGCTCATTGTAGCTTTTGAAAAATTACATTGTATTCACAGTGCCCTATCATTTGATATTTTTATTTCTATTATATCATGAACATCCTTTGAATTTCACAGAAAAAATGGTTTAACTCATCATTTTAATGCTGTTCCATAGTATGTTATATGCACCTACTCCCCTGGGGTAAATATTTAGGTGGTTTCATTTATTTGTCACCCACTCTACAGACGTCTATACGCACATATTCTCCCAGCCATCCCAGAGTTTTCTGATTTCCCATAACGTCAGTGATTAAACTCCTGATCTGTCTGACTAGCTAGACATGCTGACTGACTGACAGTTCCATTGCTACTTTATATAATTTAAGATCAACAGCTACATTTGGATCTCAGATCATCTAGGCCCAGCTGCAGTTAGTCTTTCCTAGTCTCAGAGATTCCCTCTCTGCCTGTTAATTTCTCTATCCCTGAAACTGCCCTTGTACTCCAGCCCAAGCAGCTTCCTAGCCCAGTAGTCCTGGATCTGCCACTTGCTAACTAGAAGGTGTCATCTGCAGAAGGTAAGTAAGGCATTTATCTCCATTCACTTTATATTTAGTTATCAAATCTCCATGTAGCTCAGGTAGATCGAGCTGAAAACATTCTTGTGTTTAGTAATATAGCCATTGAGCACACCATCATTGCTCTTTTCATACCTTAGTCCTACTCAAAGATTAAAGTGACAGCTTCCCAGTTATGATAAAAAAGTATAAAACATTCTGAGGGACCTGTAAACTATAAAGCTAAAATATCAGCTTCTGCATGCAACATATATGTCAAATTCTATGTCCAATACTCTTCTCGTTTTTAGAATTAATTCTGCAAACTTGAAGATTGAGCTTTTTATGAACTGATTGGCATCTGCTATGCTCACCAGATTATTCCCACTTGACTGAGAGGATGGTGGTAGCAAGAGCTCCTTCCTTTCAGAGGCTTTTAAAAATACTTATTGGGAAGAATGTACCACATAAGGCATTTAACTAATGAAACCACAGATATAACCACTGGCAAAAAAATCAAACAAACATTTCTTTAACTGCCCTGTACTTGGTACATTCTCTTCCTCCTGCTAAGGAAGTATCTCCTCTCCCTTCACTTCACAGACTGGAATTTTCCAAATTCCTAGTCTCAACAAGACAAACTGTATTTTGAAATCACTGTTTTCCCAGAATACCCGGAGTGTTACCATGACTCCAGAAGATGCCTTCAACCAAGACTCATAATCTGACTGTAAGAAACCTTCAGATAAGGTATTGGGAACTTCTGTAAAATTGTAGCTGGGCTGTGATTAGAGAATTTTCACAATATCAACGAATCTTACAAAAGAGCTGCTGATCCAACAGGTCCTCAGAGATCCTGTGTGGGAACCAGAAGGTATTCTGTGAAAAACGACAATAAGAATAACCATAATAACAATAATGGCTGCATTTAAAAGGCTCTTGCTATATTTCAGGCACTGGTTTTTGTACCTACATGGATTATTTTGTTCAATATTTATCACAACCATATGAGAAGGATGTTATTATCCACAATAAATAAATGAAATCTGTAAACTGTAACTTGTTCAAGAAAATTAGGTACAGAGATGTTAAGTTACTTGCCCAAAGTTCCATAATTTTGAAGATATGAGGCTAGAATTCAGTTCCAGGCCATTTTACACTAGATCTACTAATTTAGCCACTGTATGATTGTACCAAGACTGACCTAAAGCTACCTCCCCTTCCCCAACAGGTTCTTTTATGACAGTGAGTATAAAATACAGGGCTAATGACGTATTGGGTGCAGAGAGGGGTTGGAAAGAATGTGGTATTTCAGACTATGCTTACTATGCTTAAAAATCACAATTCCGTGGTGACTAGAGTTTATCTTAAACTTTCCTCCCTGGCATTCCATTGCATCCAGTTGAGAGAGCACTCTAGCTCCCTACATCCCAGAACATGTAGATCTGTCCGTGGTTCTGAAAGATACACTGGCAGGTCCCGCCAACTACATGAATGGCATTCATATTGTGGAAAACTGCCCACTAGTAAAAATGTACAGTTGAACTTGTACATTCATTACTTACAAGGTTGGAGAACGTGAAGTACTGGACAATCCAACAATAGCTTGGAAAGATACCATAAAAAGACCCGCAGAATATTCTTTTATATGCATTATACTGAAATGTACAAAACAAAACCAGAATGGGACACATTATGAGTGAGAAGTTTATCTTGAAATTTTAATCAGAATATGAAGAAAAGAAATCCAACATTAGACCTGGAAAAAGATAAAATAATTTGTATTTCATTTAACAATATTTATAGATTCTCAATATATACACTATCCTTTTAAACCTCAATTTATATTTAACCATCCATTTACCTTTATTTTTTGTTTGTTTTTTTCTTTCACCTCATACTTTCTACCTGGGATATCTTTTTGTGACTAAAGTACATTCTTTAGAACTTCTTGTACTTTACTAGGTGTGTTTGTGTTAAATTGTTTGTCTTCAAAATTCATTGAGATTTAAATTTTATTATTATATTTTCATGCTTAAGTGTTATGTGTTTGTCTCTTCAAATTTTTCTGAAGATTATTTATAGTTTTATAGTCACTAAATGTATTTAACAATCTGTTCTTTAATCATAGCCCATTTAGCAATTTTATATCCTATACAATTATTCTGATTTCTCAGTTATATGATTGTATGATTCTGCTGTCTGTTGTATTTTCTTGTTCTTTCACGGTGCTTTGTCTCTTATGAACATTGTTCTCTGTTGTTGTTCTTAACTGTTAAGTGCTCCTTTTGCTGGTGTAATGATTTTTTGGAATTTTCAGAGTGCCAATGACAGTAGAAATTTTTCAGAGAAGTTTTGCTTGATTTTCCAAGGTTCCTTGGAGTCTGCACTACTTTAAAATAAATTCATGCCTTGATGATTTTTAGACCACCCAGGGAGTGTGAACTCGGGCTGCAAATCCACTTCTCTTTAATCTCAGGAGAAGGTTTTGCCCCTCTCCACTCAGCACCAAGGTGACTTTCTGGGGAGACCTTCAAGCAAGGATGTTTTCCTTATACTGAGGAGCTGGCTTTGGGATCCTGGTGAAATGAGGAGAACACTCTATTAAATTTCCCACTCTGAGTGCTACCTGAACTCTGTCTTCTATTCCAAATGCCTTAGGAGGCCATGAAAACTAAACCTTAATTATCCTACATTAAGTAAATAAGCTCAGCAAAAAAAGTAAATGCACAATTCCGTGATTTAGGATTTGACAATTTTTATTAAAGTTTAAGCCTCTCAATGCTTCTACATTGTGTTTTATTTTTTCACTATCCATTTTTGTTAGCATGAGGGTAGGTATGTTTACCTAAATGTGCCATGTGAGTGGTTCAAATCTCCTCCCCAACGCTCCTTATCACAAACCTTACCATCTTATTCCTTTAAAGTCACTGACTATCTAAGGAAACTACTAGCTACTGCTGTGCATTGATTAGGACCCAACAGTAAGACGTTTCTCCTTTTGGTAAACTGCACTTCCAGATGGTCTAATTGAACATCTTCTCACTGGAAGTATTTTTATTTCCATTACTCTTAATGATGATTCCTGAAAGAGACTCTAATGCCCTGACAGTTAACTCTGGGGTATCCAAGCATACTCAAATTTTTTTCCTTCTACAGTCAGTTGTCCTTAGGGAACTCCTCAAGACCTCAATAATGAGACAAGGGAGAGTGGACTCTCCAGTGGTAATAAGAACATTAGGAGTATAGTACAAATTATTAGGCAACTTACCTGGCCTTATGGAACCTGCTAAAGTCTGATGCTGTGTATACCATTTCCCCTTGCAGACTGAGGGCTGGTGAGCATGAGTGACCCGATAAAACTCAGGTCATAATGGGCATCTCAAGTCACTTGGTCATTTTCTGTATCATGATCATAGAATTCAGAATCTACCAGGGCCCAGTAGTAAGCCAGAAGCTATTACTCAAATTCAGAAAAAGAATGGAACTTTTTCCCCAAACCCTGAAACTTGGGCAATGAGTCCTATGACTGCCACACACAAACACACACACAAACACACACACACACACACACACACACACACACACACACACACACACTCAACAATATCCAAATAAGCATTTAGGGCCAAATGGCAGATATGCTTGACTTTTGCCTGGATCAAAATGACATTTCCATTTATTATGGAATGTTTCTGTACTTGTACTAGCTCATAGGATTTTGGATTAGAGAAATACCCTTGCAGGATATGAAGTCATACTTTTTCATTGGTGAAATCATCTGTCCTCATTAGAGTTTAATAATATCATGCAGTTATTTCTCAAAGAGCTTGTACTCCTTAGATTTGCTGGAATTCCTCAAGTTAAAAAGACCAGGGCCTCAATAATGGGAGGTCTCATTGCCAATAGCTACAACCGGCTGTAGAATTTATTAAAAACATGTGAGTGCATTGTTTGGGGAAAGAATCAAGAACAAAAGCAGTGCTTGTTTTGTACTTCACTGAACTACTTCCATGGCCTCCATTCAACTTTAGCTGCAGTTTTGGTGACTTGATTCACAGACTGTCGGAAAGTTATGAGCTATGGAATGTGCTCTCTCCAATACTAAAGAGGCCAGTCATATATATGTAGGGTGTCCTTCTTTATCATTGTAGGTTGTATGAAGTCAGTGATTCCCATAGAACCTTGGGGTCACAGATGCCAGGCCTAATCTTCTTTTATTATTCATTCAATCTTTATTTTTTCAAACAATGGTCTCACTCTCTTGCCCAGGCTGGAGTCCAATGGTGCGAACACAACTCACTGCAGCCTCGACCGCCCCAGGCTTAGGTGATCCTCCCACCTCAGCCTTCCAAGTAGCCGGGACTACAGCTGTGTGCCACCGCACCTGGCTAATTTTTGTGTTTTTTGTAGAGATGGGTTTTTGTCATGTTACCCAGGCTTGTCTTGAACTCCTGGGCTCAAGCAATCCACCCACCTTGGCCTCCCAAAGTTGTGGCATTACAGACATGAGCCACTGCACCCAGCTCTAATCTTATTTTAATTTTAGAAATCTAACTTGACAGTTTCTGGTGCCTGGATCCATATTTGTCTCAGAAGATTGAATTGTGGACTGTGACCTTCTCTCCCAAAAGTCTCTTTCAGGGTAGAACTTCTGGTTATGGCAACATGAAGAGATAGACCAGCAAGTTTTCCTCCAACAGCAACATGAAAACTGTACTAAATACTAAAAACAAACATTTGAAGTCACTGGAAAATTAACAAAGGCAAGCAATATGTGATAAGAGCTTTCTTGTTTAAGACTCCTTCTGTCTTAGGTAAGGACTGCAAGTTGGTGGCCTTTCCTTCTTACCTATGAGTGCTCTTCAGCCTCCCAGCAGATAACTGCAGCCCTAGTGGCTCAATATGGGCAGTTTATAGAGTTCAGAGCCCAAATCAGCTAGAAATGTAAATGAGAATGTTGAAAGAGAGCTGCAGAAGAGTTGAGATCAACAATGTGAATGCAAATTATGCTCATCCCTAGTTGAACACTAAACTCTGCATGGGTGTGGGCCACTTGGGAATCTGGTGAAAAACCAGAAAGAAACTAGAGGGAGGTCTACCCTCCAAAGAGATAAATGATCCTGGTAAGATCTGCAAGTCTTCAGTAACATGGACTGAGTGCATTTGCCAACCTGCACAGAGCTCAGTAGAAGAAAGCAAAAATCTTACTGGCTTGAGAGGTGAAAAGGCAGGATTTGAGGCTAACAAAACAATTGGAAATTCAAAGAGAATTCCAGAAACAAAGCAACCACAATGAAGTTGAATCACAAAATCTGAGTATAAATGACCCAAATACTTGGTCAACCTCTAAATTACACAGATGCAGGACACACACCCAGAAACCCCTGCTGAAACCACGTAAGATACTAAGTGGAAATTCTCAAACAGAAAAAAAAGAAAATGAAAGTATTCTGGAAGAGGTCCACAGAAGTTTTGAGATGGCAGAATAAAGAACAAGCCTGTGACTTTGAATATAAATCTCCAGAATGTGCTCAATTCTAAAATCCAAAACACAGATTGAAATAAGATTAAAGAAAAAAATGAAGAGAACGTCATGAACCCATCAGAGAATATAAAGCAGGTGACCAGATATGCAAGTGGATCCTCAAAAGAAGACACAGGATCAGAAAAAAATATTTGAGAAAATAATAGTTGAAAGTTTCCCACATTTGGTGGGGGATTTTAGCTCATATCTAAGGTGTTCAATAAATGAAAGCAAAATAACTGCAGAGAAAATTACAAATAGGGTGACCAAGGCCTTGGCCTGGCCTGAGGCAACTTAGCTAGCCCCAGGGATGTGTGTTCTGGTGTGGAGTAAGATCAGGGAGCTACCAGTGCAATCTCTGCCTCTACATCAGCGGGACTGATCATTTTAATTTTGATTGCAGTTACTGCTGGTATCTGAATCAAAGTGGTGATGCTTCCTGAGGAAATTTCTGAAGCCATTAGTCAATTAGAACATTATAAGCCATGCCTCCCGTGAAGAGGAGCATCTAATCCCAGCATTTGCACCAGGGAACTCTGCCTGAAGGGATTACCAGTGACTTGAAAGTGTAACCAACAACAATCTTGTCACTATTACGCACCAGCTAAGCAATCTGAACATACATGCTGAAGACATATTTGGTGAGCTATTTAAGGAGGCTAACTACTTCCACATTAGATCAAATTCTCTTAGAATTTGTTGCCTCATGGTCAAAGTCACTCAGCTGGATTCAGCAGTGGAAGAGGTGTCACCACAGGACATCAACATGGAAAAAGCCCTCAAAAGTTCCCCAGCCCAAGACCAGCAAGCAGTTTCAAAGAGCAGCATTCCTACTCCTGCTGCTGACATTTACAATCAGAGTGATTGACCACCTCCCCTGAATAGCATGAGAGCACATGGAGATGATAAAGACAGGCTGAAGTTCTATACTGATCCTTCCCATTTATTTGACCTCTGGAAAGAAGAAGTGCTGCAGGACACAGAAGACAAAAGGAAAGACAGAAGGCATCAAAAGTAGCAAAACCACATAGATGGCACCACTTATGATGTGAAAAGGATTACAAAAGCCAGAAACAAGCACCATGAGTGGAATATGATGGCATATGACAAAGAGCTTAGACCCAGCAACAGGTTGTCTCAGTGTGTACCATGGAGCATCCTGCAAGAACCCCTGTCCCTAGACAGCAGGTCCCATACAATGGATGTTAGGGATGCTCTTATCGAGCTACTCCAAACCATTCTCACGACCCTTCCTAGGCAGCTGAAGATGCATGTCCACATGGGCCCACAAACCAGGCCCCTGAGCTTGAGTGCCACCCCTCCTCTGCCTCAGTGAGGCACATGGCCCTAAATGGACCTCAAGAGCGGCCCCCACTTCCCTGCCTTACCCCAGCTGTGTTCCAATCCTGTGCACTTATGGCTCCAGGAGACTACAGGATGCTCCCAGCACAGGTGCTTGCATATTACAACCCGTCAAGACCTCCTTCTCTTCCCCCTTTTACAGTACAAACTGCCTTTGTTGCCTTCTGCAAATCCTCCTGCCGCCTCCTTCCTCATATCAGCTGGCTCCACACACCCTCCTCCTCACCCTCCCTCCACTGGCCCCTGGGTCCAGCATTCCCTCCTCCAGCCACACACTTTCCCCACCAGGCCTCTTGGCTCAGTTCTTCTTTTTTGTCTTCCCCATGCATTCGCCCCCACACTACCACCAGTAGCTGAGGCAAAGTGTCAAGAACCTGCACAGCCACCAAAAAGTGATACGAGAAGTGATCTCCTTGCTGCTACTGGAATGGGGATTTGACTGGAAAAGGTGCAGGATCTGTGTGAGCAAGAGGCCAAGAGTGAGCCCCTTGGGAAGGACAAGGTCACAACCCTGTCAATACATTGCAGTGGAGAAGTACAGGGATTCTGAGGGAGACTTAGAGTTTGACAAAAACAACCGGCCCAACCAAGGCAGTGCTGGGGCTAGCTCTATGCAACAGGTGGGTAGCTGGTACCAGGCTGGGTGACAGCCAGGAGACCATATGCTAAGAATGTACTTAAGATTTCAAGTGGTCTCAGCACTCAATGGTATTATAATCCCGCAGCTGAGCACCTTTTGTATTAATGATGTGATATTGCTTCTGCACATCCAAAAATTCTGGGTTTTCTCAGTATTTACTGTGTAACATTTAAATGCCATTAAGCATAGAATATCATGCTGCACATGAAGAAATAGCGTGTAACTATTACATCGTCCTGAAAAGAGCGTTTTTTTTTTTTCCTGTAGGCCATGAAAGTATTTAGTGTACTTTGGGTTTACTCTTATTGATCATTACAATTCTGCAGATGTGCTGTGTGAAGCTGCCTGGTGCTAGGCCTTTGAAGATTAATAACTGTGTTTCAGGTGGATATCTTCAGATGAGTAATTGATATTGTTTTACTGTTTTGGGGTGTTTTATGAGTTTGAAAAGCTGTTGGTTCTAGAGGGAAAGGTTTAACAAATAAGGAGAATCCAATATTTCTGCTTTCATTTTCTTGGCGTGGTATCCTCTGTGTGAATTTGAATGCTCAGTTGAATAGTTTTATTGCCTTAGTACACACTTGTCAAATGTAAAGTTGGAAGGACCCTTTTCAGGAAGGGTTTCCTGTGAACATTCACTTAGTAAATGCTTGTGGATGATTCTTGTAAGAGGTCTCAGTGCTTAGAAGTAATGAAAATGAAGAACAAGATCCTTTCACCTTCAGGGGCCTTTGGGACCAATACTCAAAATATTTGCCAGCCCTTACAGCTTGGGCACCAGCCAGCAGGAGCAGAGGTGAGTGGTCCAGGAGCTGGGCAGCTCTGGGCAGAGCAGCTGCATGTGGGCCCTGGGTGCTAAAGCAGGCCTGCTCATTGTGTGTCCTGGAAGAGCTGTGTTCTAAAGGAGGCCACAGGAGTTCTTAGCTCCTTAGTGTGTGACAGACAGTGCTTCAGAGGGCACCGTGCTCCACTTGGTCTTAATTTTGAAAGTTTACATTGAGGTGAAAGTAGATATTGACAGCTGTTCACTCTTCATGTGCTGTGTTCAGATTACGGATGAATCCATGAGCAGGGCCTTTGCCTTATCCTAGAAACACGTGGTTATCTTCCCTCATGTTGTTGCTGGCACATCACATATTGATAAGTACCTCTCAAGATTACCTTGATAGACCCGTAGCTGTAGAAGAGCACTTAGTTCTCACCTCTGCCCTTCCCCTTATTCTTGCACTGTGGTCATGCTAGAGACCCATGGGGTTTATTTTCCTGGCTAAGGCAAACTGTTGGGAAATGCAAGAATGAGAGCTTCTATTGTGTAATTCTGGATGAAGAATAACTGCTTGTTTAGAGCAAATAAATGTCCCAGGCTTTGATTATAGTTATGACTTCAAAAATATGCTAAGACCATTTACTTACTGAGGAAATCTTACCTACTTATAGTATTTCAAATTGATTGCAGTCATTAGTGACTTTCAGTTACGATGAAGGGAAGAATCTTGAGCTAAACGCAGGGTTGTCTGAGGTGATGATAGGAGTGGAAACAGGATGGTAACTAATGGATTTAGGTTAATGAGTTCTGAGAAAATCAACCAGCCCCTGCAAGTCACAGCTCTGTGTCTCTAAGTGGACACCTGTCTGTCTTGAGGCAGTCATCATATAATACGCATCACATAGATTTTAGTCATATGGATTTTGAAACTCTGGAAACCATATGTCTGCAGCTCCCTTTCATGACCATGCTTGTGCTGGTTTATCTGATCTCCTCAGCTGTACCAGCTGCTGTGGCATGAGCTTCTTGAGCTTCTCTTTTTAGAGCTGATCATTATCTGGCGGCTGTCGCTATAATTTTCTTGAATACAAGTAAACATTATTTATAAACTTTTAAATTTCTCTGTTTAATTTTTCTCTCTCTTTTTTTTTTTAATGTAGAGGCCTACTTTGCTGGCATCTTTGGGTCCTACTCAGTCATAAACCACCCTCCCCACCCTAGAGTAGCCACTCTTGATTTCTAATACAGATGAGTTCTGCCAGGTCTAGTTGAATGGCATTATACAGTCACCATCATGACCCTGGGTCTCATCATCTCGCTGTGTGTGGTCGTAGCCTATTCACTCCCATGGCTGTCCAATGCTCCACTTTATAAATAACTCACATTTCTTGTCCTTTCACTGTTGATAGACAATTTTGTTGTATACAGATTTTACAAATCGTGCTGCTATGAATAATATTTTCATATAGTTTGGCACACACATACATGCATTTCTATTGGTTTAGAACTAAGAGTGCTATTGCTGGATCATAGATGAGTAGATGATTGGCTTAGTCTCTCAAAAACCAAGTTTCTAGTAGTAAACAAACAGTAGAGGAGGGTGAATCTCTTACTTAGAAATTATTCAGATAATAAATGAAGAAGGAATGAGAGACTGAGACTATAATAACTCTTTTGCAACCCATCATGAATTAACAGATTTAGCCATTGAATAGCAATGGCAATTAACAACACAATAAAAGAAAAAACTAATGTGAGGTTCTTCCTCTTGATGGAAGAACACAATACAGCACCATCAAACAAGTCCAAGTGAAAAAGAAACCAAGCCTGAATAGAAGCTGATCTCCATAGCCAATTACCAATTTAGAGGCAATACAGATAATAGAAATACATATTAAACTATGCCTTGGGGAGCAATCAGCAAAATGCACACTATGGGAAGCTCTACCACACAATATAAATTTCAAGGAAGAATCTATAGAATAAAGAAAACAAAAGCATATTTCTAAAGGTAAAACTAAATCATAATATTGGATGATAAAAATAAAAATAAAACAAAGAAGTGATGATCGTAAAAGTCAGGTTGTGTTTTTATTTGAGGGAAGAAAGAGTTTATTGCTGGGCTGGAGCAAATGATGGGGCTTCTGGTTTGCCCCACAAACATCTATCCCTGGTGATTAATGGGTGTTTACTTTGTATTAAAGGACACAAATTTTAGACATTTTTTTCTTTTGGAGTCCTATATTTTATTTTATGACACAAAGGCTAATGAAAAAATAATTTATAGAGTATGGTTACTGTTTTGCACAAAGCCTCCTCCCCATCTTCTTTTCTGGACACTGAGCACCCAGAACAACCAGCAGCCCCAGGACCCCCAGCAGGGGTGACCTCACTTCTAGGTGTGCATGCAGCTTACATCACCAGAGGTAACATGCAGGTCTACTCCTTGACTCCTGGAAGAACCTGATAGGACACAGCTGAAGGGAAGCCTTCTCCGCCATCTGTAGGCTCTTGGCCATCAGTGTAGAGGGAGCAGGTCCTCACTTCTCCACAGGCGTCTTCATGGCCATAGCCTCCTCTCTGCATGGGGAGTAAGGCCTGGCCCTTCGCCTGAACACGGTGACAGGGATCTCGCCAAAGGTGGAGATCACACCATTCCTCCTTTAGCAACCTCACGCTTCTTTTGCTTTACAGGAAAGTTGACTCAGGCTGGTGTCCAGTAAAGAAATCCCAAGGAGAGGCCGGGTGCGGTGGCTCACGCCTGTAATCCCAGGACTTTGGGAGGTCGAGGTGGGCAGATCACGAGGTCAGGAGATTGAGACCATCCTGGCTAACATGGTGAAACCCCGTCTCTACTAAAAAATACAAAACATTAGCCGGGCGTGGTGGTGGGCACCTGTTGTCCCAGCTACTCGGGAGGCTGAGCCAGAATGGCGTGAACCCGGGAGGCGGAGCTTGCAGTGCTCCTGCTCCCAGGAGGCAGATGCCCAGGATGAGCTTTAAGGTGGAGAGAGGAATGTCATTGCTCATCCTCCAGGTTCCAAGTAAGAACCTTCCTGCCCAGCCCATCTCGATCTCCCTGAATCCTCAACGCTAATGAGGACTGTCTCCTTCTCACCTCCCTAGACTGGGCTTTTTAACACTGGAAAGTGGATGTGATTTCTAGTTTCAGCATGTCCTGGTTTATTGTGCTGCCAGTAAAATAAAATCAAAATACACATTGAATAAATAATAAATAACCCATAGTGAGCAAAGGCTTACAATGTATTTTTTTGAGTCAAGACCTCACTCTGGCCTGGGCTGGAGCCCAGTGGTGGGATCGTAGCTCAATGCAGCCTTGTATTTATGAGCTCAAGGGATCTTCCCACCTCAGCCTCCACAATACCTGGAAATACAAGCGCCCACCACCAGGCCCAGCCGTTTACTGATTTTTATTTTTTTTAGAGACGAGGGTCCCACTATGTTGTCCAAGCTGGTCTCCAATTCCTGATCTCAAGCAATCCTCTTGCCTTAGCATCCTGAATTGCTGGGATTACAGGCGTGAGCTGTCATGCCCAGCTTGTAATGTACTGACACTATCAAGGTTTCTTTCTCCAAGTGTGGATACAGCAGCAGACACCCCTTGTCTCTTGGGTGAGGACACTGGGTAAAGTGGAATAGCAAGGCAACAAAGTCACTGCAGAAAGCACCCACGTGGAAGAGGTCCAGCAGGGAGAGCCACCTGTTCCAGGGACACCATATTTAGGGATAACTCCTCTTTCTGGGCAGGACTGTTCTTTGATTACTTTTGTATTCACAATAGTTCTGAAATCGTAGAATGATGAGACTCAAGACTGGCTAGGGTTTTATTTTTGTTTAGTTTTTATTTTGTTTTGTTTTGTTTTTTTCAAAAAACCATCATGAGATTTGTTAATCTTTTGAATGGTTTTTGTGTCTCAATTTCCTTCAGAATTTAACTCTTCTTAACATTTCACAGTCCACTTTCAGTTAAAAATGTACTAGTACCCATAAATAGAGAAATCTTGCAACCATTTATCCTCTATAAAATGTCCATCTTTATGGTACAGATATTATATGTAATATATCTATATAGGTTATAAGTCCCACAAGAAAAAAACTTCTTCTTATCTTTAAACAGTTCTATGTATATAAATTAGAGTAAATGAGGGGAACAAGATAGCCTTTTGCACTTAGCTCAGTATTTACCATTTTTGATCATCTTCATCTTTTCTGATAACCTCATTTCCCACCTGGTATCATTTGCCTTTAGCCTGAAGAATTTTCTTTACCAATTGTTATTGTGCAGATCTGCTGGTGACAAATTCTCTTAATTTTCTTTTACCTGAAACATCTCCTTATTTTGCCTGTCCTTGAAGGACATCTGTGCTGGATATAGAATTCTTAGTTGTCCTTTTTTTCTTCCAGCACTTTAAAGGTGTTATTCTACTTTCTTTTGTTTCTATGGTTTCTAATAAGAAGTCGTTGGTCAGGACAAGAGGAACAGAGAAACCAAAACTGAGGAAATAACATGGTAGACCTAAAACTTATCAATAATGAAAAAAAAACCTATATGAATCAACACTCCAATGAAGGGCAGAGATTGTGTGAATTGGTTAAAAAAAAAAAACAAAACACAGAACCCAACCATATGCTCTTTCCAGATATGCAGTTTCTTTGTTTCTTTTTTTTTTAATTTAACTTTTATTTTTAGTTAAGGAGTACATGTACAGGTTTGTTATATAGGTAAACTTGTGTCATGCGGTTTTATTGTACAGATTATTTCTGTACCCATTAGTACCCACCCAAGTATTAAGCCTTAGTACCCATTAGCTATTTTTCCTGATCCTCTCCCTCCTCCCACCCTCTACCCTCAAGTGGACCCTAGTGTGTGTTGTTCCCTTCTGCGTGTCCATGTGTTCTCATCATATAACTCCTACTTATAAGTGAGAACATGTGGTAATTGGTTTTCTGTTCCTGCCTCAGTTTGCTAAGGATAATGGCCTCCAACTCCATCCATGTTCCTGCAAAGGACATGATCTCATTCTTTTTTATGGCTGCATGGTATTCTGTGGTGTATATGTGCCACATTTTCTTTTTCTTTTTTTTTTAATGGAAAATAACTTTTATTGAGATCCCACCAGTTGCAATATCTGTTCCCAGCATTAAGCTCCTTCTTCCTTTGCAATTCGGTCTTTCTTGAGTGGTCCCATGAATGCTTTCTTCTCCTCCGTGGTCTGGAAGCGGCCATGGCCAAACTTGGAGGGGGTGTCAATGAACTTAAGGTCAATCTTCTCCAGAGCCCGCTGCTTTGTCTGCACCAGCAAGGACTTGTGGAGGGTGAGCACCCACTTCTTGGTTCCCACCACACAGCCTTTCAGCATGACAAAGTCATTGGTCACTTCACCATAGTGGACGAAGCCACCCAAAGGGTTGATGCTCTTGTCAGACAGGTCATAGTCAGTGGAGGCATTGTTCTTGATCAGCTTGCCATCCTTGATAAGGTAGCCCTAGCCAATCCTATAGATCTTCTTGTTGATCTCAGTGCGGTGATGGTAGCCTTTCTGCCCACCACGTACCACAGAGAAGCCCACACGAGCAGGATGCCATGCCCCAATACAGGCCACCTTGCACAGGCCTTGATGGGTCTTGCGGGGCAGCTTCTTGGTGTGCCAACGACTGGTGACCCTTTTGTAGCCTTTGCCCTTGGTCACCCTGATGACGTCGATCATCTCATCCTGCCCAAACACTTGGTTCACAGGTACCTGGTGCTTGAGCCTCTCGCCAGCCCAGTCCAGCTTCTCAGCCACAGTGCCTCCATTCACCTGGATCTCCATCAGGTGGGCCTTCTTCTGGCACAGAGGAAGCAGTTGCATCTGGGTGTGGGCAATGACGCAGATGACTTGGCAGTACTTCTTCATGCTGCTGAAGTCCTTCTCCAGCTGCTTCTTGCCATCCTCATCCTGCCATTTCTTGCAGTACTTGGTAAAGGCCTTCTTCTTAGATTTATGCCAGTTCTTATAGAAACGTCTCTTGCATTCATCACTGATGTGCTCAGCGAAGACAGTCTTGCAAGTCCGGAAGCCTTGAGGGGTTTCCACGCAGCCCACAATGCCCACTGGTGGCCTCTCCACAATGGTCACAGCCTCCACCACCTCCTTCTTGTTCACCTTGGATCCTGGCCTGTCGACTTCCCGCACGATGTGGGTCATGCCAGCCTTGTATCCCAGGAAGGCTGTGAGGTGGACCGGCTTGGACGGGTCATCCTTAGGGAAGCTCTTCACCTTCCCACGATGCCTGCTGCTGCGCTTCCAAGGCAGGAAGCCGAGGGACCCATGTCTGGGAGTGGAGAACTTTCTGTGAGACATCACGCCATCAAATCCTGCCGGTAGAGCATATTTGCCACATTTTCTTTATCCAGTCTACCATTGATGGACATTTAGGTTGATTCCATGTCTTTGCTATTGTGAATAGTGCTGCAATGAACATATGCATACATGTAAGACATGGGCTTTCTTTTTTTAATTTGCTTTGTTTTATTTTACTTTAGGTTCCAGGATACATGTGCAGAACCTGCAGGTTTGTTACATACGTATAGTCTGCCATGGTGGTTTGCTGCACCTATTGACCCATCCTCTAAGTTCCCGTCCCTTGCCCCCCACACTCCCCAAAAGGCCCTGATATGTGTTGTTCCCCTCCCTGTGTCCATGTGTTGTCATTGTTCAACTCTCACTTAGGAATGAGAACATGAGGTGCTTTGTTTTCTGTTCCCGTGTTAGTTTGCTGAGGATGATGACTTCCAGCTTCATCCATGTCCCTGCAAAGGACATGAACTCATTCCTTTTTCTGGCTGTGTACTATTCCATGGTGGTATGCACCACATTTTCTTTATCCATCTATCACTGATGGACATTTGGGTTGGTTCCAAGTCTTTGCTATTGTAAATAGTGCTGCAGTAAACATACGTGTGCATGTGTCTTTATAGTAGAATGATTTATATTCCTTTGGGTAGATACCCAAGGGGTCAAATAATATTTCTGGTTCTAGGTCTCTGAGGAATGGCCACACTGTCTTCCACAATGGTTGAACTAGTTTACATTCCCAACAACAGTGTAAAAGTGTTCCTATTTCTCCACAGCCTCGCCAGCATCTATTGTTTCTTGACTTTTTAATAATTACCATTCTGACTGGTGGGAGATGGTATCTCATTGTGGCTTTGATTTACATTTCTCTAATGAGCAGTGATATTGAGCTTTTTTAATTTTTCTCATTAAGATTTTAATGTCTCATTTCAAAAAATTAAAGGAAGTTTCCATTTATTTTTTAAGATAAAGATTTAGTGCACCCAAATGCCCCCAAAGCCAACAGAAAAATAGCTTTGCCCTGTCATTTCCCTAAGAAAGCACTGCAGTTACTCAAAATATGCTCAAAGAAAAAAATGCAATCCTCTAAGTTTCACGAAAGGACCACATGTTAAACTATGTATATCGATTTGATGTGTAAGTATGCAATAAATATGTACACATACATTCCTATCTGCTTCACATCATTCTAGAGTATTCATAGTATATGAAGATGGGATTTAGAAATGTGAAAAGGCTGTAACAGTGAAAAGGAAAAAAAGGGTACAATGGTTTTTAGACCAGTAGAATAATAATGCTTAGCTAGTTAATTATTTTAACTTTGGAGCAGACTAAAAAAGTTGTTTTGAAATAAATGGTACCTGTAAGTGATGCTTACTGCAATACTTGTTAAGTGTTATTTGTCACCACTGACAGGAATTATATAGTGCTAGTAACACAGCTCCCACTGTCCTAGAATTCCTCTAAATGGCCAGCTATTGCTACCATTATCTTGATAAGCATTTCAAGAATTGTGTTGCTGAGCCTTTTAAAAGATAACTAGTTTATAACCTATGTCTCCTTATGTGCCTACATCAGTTACTCATGGTCCCAAAGAAGTATAAAAGAGGATATAAGCTGCTGAAGATTTCACAGAAGAAACAGAGATATCAGAAACTTCATGATCATCAAACTTAAACCACCGCTGTTTTGCTGCATTTTTACAGTAGGCTGTGTAATGGCCTCCATCCAGCCCACCGCAGTGATCTGAAACAGAAAACAAATTATATTTCTTCAAATTGTTCTTTGGACCAATAACATACTGTGACAAGGCAAGATTTTCTAACGGGAAGTCCACAGATGTCTGTAATTTTTGTTTCCACCTGCCATTGTAGGAAAAATGTTTCAGATGCACTAAAAGCACAGGTGGTAACTTCCAGATTTCTTTTTTAAGAATCCCGTCGAGCTCTGCAAAGATTGCAGTAAAATCTGTTATTATCTATGAGTTTTTCTTCTTTAGAAAATAATCTAAGGCAATCCTATAATGTACATTTACTTGTGGATGCTATCAGTAGAGACAAATACATGAAGGCCTCAAGTGTCCTAGACTTTTTGTGACGGGTGAGGCACTGTACTGTAGATTTGAATTGACCCTGAAAAAGTGCAACAATAATAGACTCATAGAGCCGCTTGTGTTTCTGCCAGGCATGTTCTGCAGCTTTAAAGTCATTGAGATGATCATTATTTTCTTCTTTATATGTCTTCCGATTATCAGTTTTATTTAGATCTTCATGGAGACCATCCATTAGGAACAGAAGAAATTCTTGTGAATCTTGACTGTATCCTGCAAACTGGTAATTGATCTTCCCAATGGTGACTTTAAGGTCTTTTGGACTGATATATCTATACTGTCCTGTCCACGGGGCTTTCATGATTATACCAAATTCTTCTGCCACTTCACCTTTATGCCCCTAACAAATTTGACTTGTTAATATCATCCTGATAACAGTTTCGGTTGAAATAATCAGCCAAATGTGGAGCATTACATAGGCACTGCAATATTGAGTTCATATAACAAGCATTTCCTAAGTTACGAAGTCCAGTAAGAGCTGGTCCAGAACCTCCAAAAACAGGATTGAGTTTCCAAATCTGAGAAGCAGAAAGCCTTGAGATCTCAGCTTTAGGGTAGCATGTTGGCTTGTCTTCCTGATTAACTGTTGGAGTTACTGCTGGCTTCCTCTTGAATAGCCTGGGTTATATCTGGGGAGGAGTAAGAGCATTTCAGTTTGGAAGGTTCCCTATCCTGCTTAGCAGGAATCTGTGGCTTGCCTTTATGAGTTGGAGGGGTGGAAGGAGGTGCAGATGAAGGAGCCATTTCCAGTGGGTACATATGAACAGTGTTAGTGGTGAATGATAATAATGAAACGTTCCAGTGATTGGATCAAGAAACTTGGCCCAGCCTGAAGGCAGTCCTGGTACCATCCTCCCCATTTCTTCACTTCGTGCTATTATCGAAGGTTCTCGTTGAGTTTTATTTCTTTCAGTATCATCTGTATCCTCTCTAAAAGTTTCTGTCCTTAGAATTCCAGTTTCTGGTTGTCCTTTAATCTTAAAAGGCTTGCCTGAACCTGAATCCCCTGTCGCAGATGTATGGGACACATCTCTTGTTGACTTTTTCTGTACTTCTGGGGTTGAACATCTTCTCCCCCTGTCCTCTACAGACTTCTCGGCACCAGAGGTTTCATGATCACTTTTACTTTGTCTTTTTACTCTTGTTATTTCTTTGCCCTTCTTTGCTGAGATTTCTTTATCCTCTTTCTTGGCCTGTTCACGTTCTTTCTTCTCCATTTCTTCTTTTGCTTTTTGTTGCTTCTGTGTAATTTCATTTTCTGCAGCTTCTTGTTTCTTTTTGGCTTTTTGCTCGTGTTCTTCCCTCCTCAGTTTCTTTCTGTTTCCCTTGCTGTCTTTCCTGAAGTTCTTTTTCTTGTTTGTTTTTCTCCATTAGAAGAGCAGTTTCTGCATGAATATGAGCCTTTTCTTCATCTGTTAACATGAGAGTTGGAGAGGAAACTACTGGCTTGGCGGAACAATCAGGAATAACTTTTTCATTCTGAGGAGACTGTTGCTCATGATTTGTACTTTCAGATTTGATTATATGCTCTTCAGGCAATTTGACTGCCAGTTTTTTAGTATGATCAATCTGTGGAACATTCTTTATGCTAGGCACTGGCTGAATGATGGGTGAAACATCAGATTTAGAAGCAGCAACTGATTCAACTGGAATTGATATATTCAGTGGTCCTGTCCTCTCATTTTGATCATTATCACTTATTTGATCACTTATCAATTCTATGTCTTCATCCACTTCTATAGGTGGAGGTGGCATCTCGGCAGCAGGTTTAGAAGGAATTGATTCTTCCAATGAGGGATAAGTAAAATCCAATGAGATAGACAACTCTTCATTCTGGTGTTGTGGGGGTGGAGTGACCTTAGCATTTGTTGTATACTGGGAATAGCAAAAGAACCAGTTTTTATAGCCTCCCTCTAAAACCAAAGGCCCAAGGCCCATTGCACAGGACAGTTTTACTTTCCCACTTGAAAAGTGCATCTTTCAGATGCCAGAGTGTTGTTCCAATCTGTAAATCTTTTGCAGAACTAAACCAGTCAAGAAGTACCATATACTCCACATTCCCCCTCTTCTTCCATGTATCTATAGAATCATCTGGGAGGTGTGCTTCAATCCAGCTAGCAGTGACTCCTGGACTGATGGCTTTTTCAGGAACACTGAGAGAATGTAAAATACAGGAATCCTGATAATACTGCATTCTTTGAGCATGCATTATAATCAAGCTGATGTTTTTATCCATCATCATTGTGTATAGTTCCTTTGCTGTGATTGCTCCTTTCTCTTTGGTCTCACATTTTTCATTCTTTTCACCATTGATCTTTTGGGTTTTGTCTTTGGAATCCAATACAATCTCCAAAGAATCTTTAGCCAACGTGCTGCCATCCTCTCTTCCTGTTTCCTGCCTTTTTTGTTGTAGCCACTGTGCTTCCCCCTGCCTGTCCTTTTCCTCAAGTTTTTTCCAGATTTCAACTTCTTCATATCTTAGTTTAAGGCTTTCAGAGAGTCGTTCAGTTTCTCCAGTGGCTTTTTTGATGTTTGCAGGTCCAAGTATTGAACGGAAGCAATCCTGCTGTTGCTTGAAATCAGGTCTTTTTTGGATAGGATTATAAACAGTCACGTTTCATATACGTGTGTGAGCTTTTTTTCATATGTTTCTTGGCCACGTAAATGTCTTCCTCTGAGAAGTGTCTGTTTATATCCTTTGCCCACTTTTTGATGGGGATGGGTTTTTTTCTTGTAAATTTGTTTAAGTTCCTTGTAAACAAACATGTGAGCTCTCATCATTCTTGTTTAAACACCTAACAGCCATCCTAACCAGTGCAACAAGGACCAGGCATGGTGGCTCATGCCTGTAATCCCTGCATTTTGGGAGGCTGAGGTGGGAGGATCACTTGAGATCAGGAGTTTGAGACCAGCCTGATAAGTGAGACCTCATCTCTACCAAATAATAATAATTTTAAAAGAAAACAGATCAATGGATAAGAAAGGAAGAAATGAAAGTCTTTCTTTGTCACCAGCTTCATTGTATATGTAGAAAACACTAGGGAATTCTGAAAAAGTCTCTGGAATTAATCATTGAATTTGCAAAATAGTTCATAAAATATATGTAATAAGTCACTTAGATGAACATAAAAAGATAGCAAACAATACTAGTCATCTAAGAAGTGCAAGTTAAAACCACAATGAGAAACCATCACACATCACCTAGAGCAGGTAAAGTTAAAAAGACATATGATAAGTCTTATCACTGGCAAGAATATGGAAAAAATAGGAATGTCTGATATTGCTGGTAGGAATGCAAGAAATGTGGCAGCCAATTTGTAAAGTGGTATGGCAATTTCTTATACAGTTACCCATCTATTACCACATGGCCCAGCAATTCCACAAATATGTATTTATCCAAAAGAAATAAAAATGTAAGGCCACACTTGTAAGCAGTTATTTATAGTGGCTTCATTAATAACAAGCCCTAACTGGAGGAATCCACATGTCTATCAACTGGAGACACAGAAACCAATGAATAAACTGGGATTCCAGCAATACTCGGCAGCTGCTCAGCAACAAAAATGAATGAATGGCATCATCTCAAACATCGTTATGCTAAGGGAGAGACCAAACAAAAGACTACATAACATATGATTGCATGTCCATGAAATTCTAGAAATGTCACTATTGCAGTGACAGAAAGCACAGCAGTGGTTGAATGAAGGGAAGGGGGTGAGGGTGGGAGGCAAGGATTAAATAGAAAGGGGCATAAAGAAAGTTTTTAGGGAAAAGAAACTGTCCTCTACAGCGCCACAATTCAGGAGTGACTGGGAGGGGGAAGTAAGGGGAGAAGGTCTGAGGGATAAGGGGCAGAGAGAAGGGCTGGGGAAGCAGGAGGAGAGGACGAGGAGCAGGGGAAAGGACTCTAAAGCAGTGGAGGGGCCTAGTAGGAGGATCTTTGCATTTGGTGTTTCTCTACTGGGCAGTGTGGTAGTTACACTATAAATAATTACCAATATCCACCAAAAAGTGCAGCTAAAACTGGTGAATTTTTTTACACGTAAACGCCCTAATAAGCAAAAAAAAAAGGGGGGGGGAGGGGGGAGGAAAGAAGGCAAAAATAAAGACATTGTTAGATCATCAAACCCATAAAATTCATTTCCTAGGGGTCCTGTACTACATGTAATTTTAAAGGACGTTCTACAGGCTGAAGGGAAATGATACTAGATGGTGACCCAGATATACAGAAAGGAACAATTAACAACAGAAATGATGCACATACACATATCACATACACACCCATTTTCTTAATTTCCTGAAGATATGTGACTGCTTGTCTAAAACAAAAAGTATTACACTGTATCGTTGAGTTTATAACGTATATTGATGTAACATATACAATAATAATAGCATAATGATAGTTTAAATGAAACTACACCATTTGAAGTGTCCTTTATTTTGCTGGATGCAGCTTAATATTACCTGAATTTCACTGTGAAAAGTCAAGGAATTGGGTTTCAATTCTTACAACAATAAAAAATTAATGTAAAGAAATATAGCTAAAAGCCACTAGGAGAATTAAAACCATAAGCTGAAAAATGTTTACTTGACACATAAGAAAGTAGCAAAGGAGGAACAGAAACAAAAAGATATGAGACAAATTGAAAACGTATAGCAAAATGGTAGACCAAAATCCAACCATTATAAGTGAAGAAATGACACGACCTGAGTCACATTAGCAGGACTGCTGAGCACTGTGGGGAGAACAGACATGGGCAGGAAGTGAGGGACAGTGTTAGTGCCACAATTCAGGAGTGACAGGGTGGCGGGGACTAAGGGGGAAAGAGGGTGTGAAGGATGAGAGGGGCAGACAGAAGGGCTGGAGAAGCAGGAGGTGAGGAAAAGGAGCAGAGGAAAGAATTCTAAAGCAGTAGAAGAGCCTGGCAGGGGGTTCTTTGCATCCGGTATTTAATACATTTTGTGTGACTGCCTTAAAACTAATGGCCTCCTTATGATTTTTTTTAAAAAGGTGTTACAAAAATATCAAGTGTCCAAATAAAATATGCACACTGCTTAGATGTGCATAGTTCACGAAAACGGGCAGTGCTGGAGCGCTGGTGAAGAGCATTGGGACTGCATGGAGCCCTCGCAACTTTGAGGTGATGACTACAGGCTCCCGGTTGCAATAGACGGTAACAAACCCTGCTTCTTTGTATTCAGGAGATGTTCTGGACTCACACAAGGAAACTCGGGCTAGAGAATGAGGATAATTTTAAATGCAACAACCCAGAGTCACAGATCCATAGTCTGCGAAAGTAAAACAGGAGCTTTGAGAATTTAATTGTAATGCAGTTTTGACACAGGTCTTTCACAGATTGGAATTCTAATCATTCAGGGATTACCAATATTGTGCTACCTACTGTATCAATAAACAAAAAGGAAACTGGTCTCTATGAGAATCTCTACCTGGTGCTTTCAGACAAAACTTCACCAGGTTTAAAGAGAAAACTCCTGACTCTACACGTCCATTCCCAGGGCGAGCTCACTGTCTGGCATCAAGTTCCCCATGGTGAGTTTCCCTGTACAAGAGTCCAAGGGGAGAGGTAAGTGTCCTTTATTTTGCTGGATGTAGTTTAATATTACCTGAGGTAAGGTAAGGCAAAGAGTGGGAGGCAGGGAGTCCAGTTCAGGGACGGGGATTCCAGGAGAAGTGAAGGGGAAGGGGCTGGGCGCAGCCTGGGGGTCTCTCCCTGGTTTCCACAGACAGATCCTTGGCCAGGACTCAGGCACACAGTGTGACAAAGATGCTTGGTGTAGGAGAAGAGGGATCAGGACGAAGTCCCAGGTCCCGGGCGGGGCTCTCAGGGTCTCAGGCTCCAAGGGCCGTGTCTGCACTGGGGAGGCGCCGCGTTGAGGATTCTCCACTCCCCTGAGTTTCACTTCTTCTCCCAACCTGCGTCGGGTCCTTCTTCCTGAATACTCATGACGCGTCCCCAATTCCCACTCCCATTGGGTGTCGGGTTCTAGAGAAGCCAATCAGCGTCTCCGCAGTCCCGGTTCTAAAGTCCCCAGTCACCCACCCGGACTCGGATTCTCCCCAGACGCCGAGATGCGGGTCATGGCGCCCCGAACCCTCATCCTGCTGCTCTCGGGAGCCCTGGCCCTGACCGAGACCTGGGCCTGTGAGTGCGGGGTTGGGAGGGAAACGGCCTCTGCGGAGAGGAGCGAGGGGCCCGCCCGGCGAGGGCGCAGGACCCGGGGAGCCGCGCAGGGAGGTGGGTCGGGCGGGTCTCAGCCCCTCCTCGCCCCCAGGCTCCCACTCCATGAGGTATTTCGACACCGCCGTGTCCCGGCCCGGCCGCGGAGAGCCCCGCTTCATCTCAGTGGGCTACGTGGACGACACGCAGTTCGTGCGGTTCGACAGCGACGCCGCGAGTCCGAGAGGGGAGCCCCGGGCGCCGTGGGTGGAGCAGGAGGGGCCGGAGTATTGGGACCGGGAGACACAGAAGTACAAGCGCCAGGCACAGGCTGACCGAGTGAACCTGCGGAAACTGCGCGGCTACTACAACCAGAGCGAGGACGGTGAGTGACCCCGGCCCGGGGCGCAGGTCACGACCCCTCCCCATCCCCCACGGACGGCCCGGGTCGCCCCGAGTCTCCCGGTCTGAGATCCACCCCGAGGCTGCGGAACCCGCCCAGACCCTCGACCGGAGAGAGCCCCAGTCACCTTTACCCGGTTTCATTTTCAGTTTAGGCCAAAATCCCCGCGGGTTGGTCGGGGCTGGGGCGGGGCTCGGGGGACGGGGCTGACCACGGGGGCGGGGCCAGGGTCTCACACCCTCCAGTGGATGTATGGCTGCGACCTGGGGCCCGACGGGCGCCTCCTCCGCGGGTATGACCAGTCCGCCTACGACGGCAAGGATTACATCGCCCTGAACGAGGACCTGCGCTCCTGGACCGCCGCGGACACGGCGGCTCAGATCACCCAGCGCAAGTGGGAGGCGGCCCGTGAGGCGGAGCAGTGGAGAGCCTACCTGGAGGGCACGTGCGTGGAGTGGCTCCGCAGATACCTGGAGAACGGGAAGGAGACGCTGCAGCGCGCGGGTACCAGGGGCAGTGGGGAGCCTTCCCCATCTCCTGTAGATCTCCCGGGATGGCCTCCCACGAGGAGGGGAGGAAAATGGGATCAGCGCTAGAATATCGCCCTCCCTTGAATGGAGAATGGGATGAGTTTTCCTGAGTTTCCTCTGAGGGCCCCCTCTGCTCTCTAGGACAATTAAGGGATGAAGTCCTTGAGGAAATGGAGGGGAAGACAGTCCCTGGAATACTGATCAGGGGTCCCCTTTGACCACTTTGACCACTGCAGCAGCTGTGGTCAGGCTGCTGACCTTTCTCTCAGGCCTTGTTCTCTGCCTCACGCTCAATGTGTTTAAAGGTTTGATTCCAGCTTTTCTGAGTCCTTCGGCCTCCACTCAGGTCAGGACCAGAAGTCGCTGTTCCTCCCTCAGAGACTAGAACTTTCCAATGAATAGGAGATTATCCCAGGTGCCTGTGTCCAGGCTGGCGTCTGGGTTCTGTGCCCCCTTCCCCACCCCAGGTGTCCTGTCCATTCTCAGGATGGTCACATGGGCGCTGTTGGAGTGTCGCAAGAGAGATACAAAGTGTCTGAATTTTCTGACTCTTCCCGTCAGAACACCCAAAGACACACGTGACCCACCATCCCGTCTCTGACCATGAGGCCACCCTGAGGTGCTGGGCCCTGGGCTTCTACCCTGCGGAGATCACACTGACCTGGCAGCGGGATGGCGAGGACCAAACTCAGGACACCGAGCTTGTGGAGACCAGGCCAGCAGGAGATGGAACCTTCCAGAAGTGGGCAGCTGTGGTGGTGCCTTCTGGAGAAGAGCAGAGATACACGTGCCATGTGCAGCACGAGGGGCTGCCAGAGCCCCTCACCCTGAGATGGGGTAAGGAGGGGGATGAGGGGTCATGTGTCTTCTCAGGGAAAGCAGAAGTCCTGGAGCCCTTCAGCCGGGTCAGGGCTGAGGCTTGGGGGTCAGGGCCCCTCACCTTCCCCTCCTTTCCCAGAGCCATCTTCCCAGCCCACCATCCCCATCGTGGGCATCGTTGCTGGCCTGGCTGTCCTGGCTGTCCTAGCTGTCCTAGGAGCTGTGATGGCTGTTGTGATGTGTAGGAGGAAGAGCTCAGGTAGGGAAGGGGTGAGGAGTGGGGTCTGGGTTTTCTTGTCCCACTGGGAGTTTCAAGCCCCAGGTAGAAGTGTGCCCCACCTCGTTACTGGAAGCACCATCCACACATGGGCCATCCCAGCCTGGGACCCTGTGTGCTAGCACTTACTCTGTTGTGAAGCACATGACAATGAAGGACAGATGTATCACCTTGATGATTATGGTGTTGGGGTCCTTGATTCCAGCATTCATGAGTCAGGGGAAGGTCCCTGCTAAGGACAGACCTTAGGAGGGCAGTTGCTCCAGAACCCACAGCTGCTTTCCCCGTGTTTCCTGATCCTGCCCTGGGTCTGCAGTCATAGTTCTGGAAACTTCTCTTGGGTCCAAGACTAGGAGGTTCCCCTAAGATCGCATGGCCCTGCCTCCTCCCTGTCCCCTCACAGGGCATTTTCTTCCCACAGGTGGAAAAGGAGGGAGCTGCTCTCAGGCTGCGTGTAAGTGATGGCGGTGGGCGTGTGGAGGAGCTCACCCACCCCATAATTCCTCTTGTCCCACATCTCCTGCGGGCTCTGACCAGGTCTTTTTTTTTGTTCTACCCCAGCCAGCAACAGTGCCCAGGGCTCTGATGAGTCTCTCATCGCTTGTAAAGGTGAGATTCTGGGGAGCTGAAGTGGTCTGGGGTGGGGCAGAGGGAAAAGGCCTAGGTAATGGGGATCCTTTGATTGGGACGTTTCGAATGTGTGGTGAGCTGTTCAGAGTGTCATCACTTACCATGACTGACCTGAATTTGTTCATGACTATTGTGTTCTGTAGCCTGAGACAGCTGCCTGTGTGGGACTGAGATGCAGGATTTCTTCACACCTCTCCTTTGTGACTTCAAGAGCCTCTGGCATCTCTTTCTGCAAAGGCATCTGAATGTGTCTGCGTTCCTGTTAGCATAATGTGAGGAGGTGGAGAGACAGCCCACCCCCGTGTCCACCGTGACCCCTGTCCCCACACTGACCTGTGTTCCCTCCCCGATCATCTTTCCTGTTCCAGAGAAGTGGGCTGGATGTCTCCATCTCTGTCTCAACTTTACGTGTACTGAGCTGCAACTTCTTACTTCCCTACTGAAAATAAGAATCTGAATATAAATTTGTTTTCTCAAATATTTGCTATGAGAGGTTGATGGATTAATTAAATAAGTCAATTCCTGGAAGTTGAGAGAGCAAATAAAGACCTGAGAACCTTCCAGAATCCGCATGTTCGCTGTGCTGAGTCTGTTGCAGGTGGGGGTGGGGAAGGCTGTGAGGAGACGAGTGTGGACGGGGCCTGTGCCTAGTTGCTGTTCAGTTCTTCATGGGCTTTATGTGGTCAGTCCTCAGCTGGGTCACCTTCACTGCTCCATTGTCCTTGTCCCTTCAGTGGAAACTTGTCCAGCGGGAGCTGTGACCACAGAGGCTCACACATCGCCCAGGGCAGCCCCTGCACACGGGAGTCCCTGTGCTTTCTGAGACAAATTTTCAGACCCATTCAGCTCCTGCCCTCCTTCTAGGGCTCCTCTTCTGCTTTGGTCTCCTGTCCTCTCTCCCTTCCCTGATTCCAGTAATCTTCGTGCTGACTCCAATCCCAACTCATGAATCTAAAGCAGAGCCTAATTTAGATTTATATTTGTTTGTAAAATTGGGTCCATAGTCTAGAATTGTTCCTTCCTGAAGAGAGAAACCTGATCGTGTGCTGCAGTGTGCGGGGCGGTTGGTGTGGGAGGAGGGATAGGGGAGGGAGGACACACAAGCAGCCCTGCTGAGAAAAGTACAGGCGGCCTCGGTGTCAGTGTGAGGGGACCTTGTGCTGCAGCTGCCACAAAACAGCACTTGGCCTGAGGCTATGTTAATAAAGATACTGGCTTTAGAGTAGGAGGTGCTCTACACTGATCATTCAACTGACCTTTGTTGTCAGCCAGACACAGGACAGAAAAGTTCTGCATCTGGGGAACACCATTGAAGTAAAATCAGAAAAATATCTGAGCATATGCTTCAGTGGTAAGAGGCAGACGATACATACACTATAACCACAGTAAGAAAAGAAAGTGATGGAAGGTGGTAAGTGCCATGAGGCAGGTGATCCGGGTATGGGCAGTGGGGACAGGGAAGGTGGCTGTTGGACAGGAGTTGTCAATGTGTGCCTTGTTGCAAAGATGACCTTTGAGGAAAGATTTGAGGGACATGAGGATGTCTGGGGAAGTTCTTTCTAGGCAAGGAAACTCCAGTCCAAATGTACTAGGGCAGGAAGGTGTCTGTGTTCCCAGAAGAGCAAGGAGGCCAGGAGGGCTGGACAGAGAAACTAGATGAGGTCAGAGGTATGGCCAGAGCAGGTGGGCTTGAGGGGAGTGGGGTTGCGTCTGACCTCGCTCTGAGTGGGATGGGGAGTTAGAGGACAGTTTTGAGCAGAAGAGAGCCATGATATGACTTCTTTCTTAAAAGGATCTCTGATGGCTGTGCTGAGAACAGAATTGAGAGGCGAGGGATGAGGGAGGCAGAAGGGAAAACAGTAGGAATCGAGTGCAGTATTCCAGGCTGGAGATGTCGGTTACCTTGACTGGGGTGTGAGCACAGGAAATAGTGGGACGTGAGGGGATTCTGGATGCATTTGAAGATGGACTCACAGCATTTGCCAATGGATTGTATCTGTGGTGTGAGAAAGACGAATCAAGGACACCCATAGTTGTAAAATGAGTGAGTAGAAGGAAGGGTGGAGCTGCTGTCAGTGGAGATGGGGAGACTCTGGCAGGAGCATCCTGAGGAGGGGGCATCACAGGCACTCAGTGGAGGAGATGTCTACTAGGAATGCAGGTGGGGGAGCTGGGGTGGCAGCTGGGCAGACAACTCCACAGTTCAGGGGAAAGGACTGGGCTGGAGAAATAGATTTAGGAGCTCACACCACATAAACGATACTTAAAACCTCAAGCATGGATGAAGCACCAAGGGAGTGATTGACTGTGGAAAAGAATCAGCGCAAGGACTGAACCCTGGACCTCCAGTTCTAAGGGATCTGATCAGACCACAGAGCAGACTGCACAGTTCTGGCCCCATGTCTAGAGGACGCTTAGACAAGGAACTCCCGTGTGCACCAGGATCACCTGGATGTGGTGCTGAGATCCAGGAAGTCTGGAGTCGAGCAAGAGATTCTGGATTTATGACAAGGCTGGAGCTCACGTTGCTGGTCTCCAGATCACACTTGGAGTAGCCAGAACACCAGGACCCCACGTCTGCATCGGCCTCGCCTGTAGGGCTTGTTATGTAAATGATTCCTTGGTCTTGTGCATAATATTGTGAGACAGGGGTTCTGAGGAGTGGCCTGAGTATTTTCTAAGCCTCCACCAGAAATCTTGTTGCTCAGCCAGATCAGGAACCTCAGAGATCAGAGAGTGCCCAGGGTGGGTGGGTGGGTTTTCAAACCCTGTTTAAAAGAGGATTTTTCTTGCAGAAAGGAAAGGGAGGATGTATATCATCAGTTAAGAGATGTGATAATCCCTGTTGATCTCTCCACCATGAGGTAGAGGCCAGGTAGACAATTCAGGATGTGGCTGTCACACAAGGAACACCTCCGAATGCTGCTCTCTGACCCTGGTCCATAGATTCATTTCTCACTCACTTCTTGGAGAAAACTATGGAAAACAAATTTCTGTAATTTATACATAAAGTAGTATACCTGGTATTGGGGGTTAATTTTATTGTGGGGAAGGCCACAGAACCAGGCTGAAAACTACACATCCCAGAAAAGAATCCATAGCCCACGCCCCTGGATCAGGTCCCTCCTAGGAACAACTGCCCCTGCTGCTGAGCACAGACACCACTGCTCACACCTCTGACATCCTGGTGCTGGACACTGGACCCCAAGGCTAGGATAGATGTCACTGCTGCCCCTGGCAACTGGACATCACTACTGACACTCAGCCATGTTTACTAAAATGCATTCTGCACAATCCCAGCCTTTCTGTGTCACCTCATTCTAGCTCAGAGTCTGGCAGTGATATAGGATTTAAGAAGAAATTATTTAGGCAGGTAGTGAGGGTACAGAAGTCTCAGTAAGGTTTTCTTTTTAATGGAAAGCAGGCCCCAAATCGTTTTCTTTTCTGACAAAGACCAGCCTGTAAAATCAAGCTTCAGACATAGACAAGCAAGCTGGAAGCTTGCACAAGTGAATGCTGGCAGCTGTGCCAATAGGAAAAGGACATCTGGGACTAGGCGTGTTCACAGTGATGGCTCCATCTTCCCTTCTTTTTGCCAGCCATGTGTTCAGTAAAGAGCAGACAACATAGCACCGGCCAATAAACTCACTCCTTGTGTGTCACTGTCCTTAATCTTCTTGGTGAGATACAATGAACCCTGAGTATTTACCTGAGACAACAATGCTGCTTCAGCAGGTGGTCATCTGACTGATGGAGTTTAAGACTCATGTCCATTATCAACTGCAGGGGTGACTGGAGTGTTGTGCTCTTCTAGGGATGGGGGTGGTTTCTATCTCCTCTTAACACATTACATGTTGTAAACCGAAAATAAACTTCAAACCCACCCTCTCCCAACCATCTTAATGGACACCCTCCTCAGCCAGGGCGCTCAAAAATTAACTTGAAAGACTGGCTCAGGCCACCATGGGAAGCAGGTGTTGAACATGCCTCATTATGGCCTCTTACCTTTTGGAATTCAGGAAAAGCTGACCAGCAATTAACATCAACACAGACCTTAAGTCTGATCAGAAACATTATAATCTATTCTCTCTGAAGCCTGGCACCTGGAGGCTTCAACTGCATGATAAAATTTTGGACTCCACAACCTCTTATCATAACCCAGACATTCCTTTTTATTGATAATAACTCAACCAATTGCCAATCAGAACATTTTAAAATCTACCTATAACCTAGAAGCAGTAACCCCCAACCCTCGCTTGCTTCAAATTGTTCTGCTTTTCTGGACTGAACCAATGTATATCTTAAATATATATTATTAGTGTCTCATATCTTCCTAAAATGTATAAAACCAACCCATACCCCAACCACATTGAGCACATGCTCTCAGGGTCTCCTGAGGGACGTGTCATGGGCTGTGGTCACTCGTATTTGGCTCAGAATAAATCTCTTCAAATATTTTATGAAGTTTGCCTCTTTTCATTGACAGTATGGAATTCTGACGTAGTAAGAGGGTTCAAGTGCTGGAGTGTGAAGGGTGGGAAAAGAATGATAAATTTTAATTATTGGAGCAGTGCTCCAAGACAAGAAATTTATTTAGTATCTGGTAGGGATTCAGAGTGTCTGAATCAACCGGTGACTAATAAATAACATCTTTCCACCCATTCCCTTGAAAATAAGTTATTACATCAAGTTTTTGTCTATCCCAGTTCATACTCCAGATTATTGGAGTGGCATGGTGTGATGGTGAAATGATTATTCACACATCTTCCCTTGGCATTGTCTCTTACTGGGATTAAAACACCCAGGTTTTGTAAGATCTCAGAGGATCTGGTTGCACACTGATGTTTTATATTAATATTTGTATTTTCTTGTGTGTGGAAATATTTCTGGGGAGAGAATCTCTGACACTTATTAGTTTTTATGTGACCCCCTCAAAGGCCTAAAAAATCCTAACTTCTAGATTAGAGGTAGGGCCACTCCATGTCTGGACAATGAACAGCTGGTAGAAACCTGTGTTTAGCAGACTTAGGGACATGAAATAAATGCTTAATTTTTTTTTATCTTTTCCTCTGGGACCGAAGAAGGTAGAGGTTTACTTGCTTACTCTTACTGTTGTTGTGGGAAGTCAAGGACCCCGAATGAGGGACTGGCTGGAGCTGCGGCAGAGGAACATAAATTGTGAAGATTTCATTTTAATATGGACATTTAACAGTTCCCAAATAATACTTTTATAATTTCTTATGCCTGTCTTTACTTTAATCTCTTAATCCTGTTATCTTCATAAGCTGAGGATGTACGTCACCTTAGGACCACTGTGATAATAGTGCTACAATTTGATTGTAAAACGTGTGTTTGAACAATATGAAATCAGTGCACCTTGAAAAAGAATAGAATAACAGCAATTTTTATGGAACCAGGGAAGACAACCATAAGGTCTGACTGCCTGCGAGGTTGGGCAAAAAGAGCCATATTTTTCTTCTTGCGCAGAGCCTATAAACAGACGTGCAAGTAGGAAAGATATCACTAAATTCTTTTCCTAGCAAGGAATATTAATATTAATACACTGAAGAAGGAATTCATTCCTGGGGGGAGGTCTATAAACGGCCGCTCTGGGAATGTCTGTCTTATGCAGTTGAGATAAGGACTGAGATACGCCCTGGTCTCCTGCAGAACCCTCAGGCTTACTAGGGTGGGGAAAAACTCTGCCCTGGTAAACTTGTGGTCTGACCACTTCTCTGCTCTCAAACCCTGTTTTCTGTTGTTTAAGATGTTTATCAAGACAATACGTGCACTGCTAAACATAGACCCTTATCAGTGGTTCTGCTTTTGCCCTTTGTCTTGTTCCCTCAGAAGCATGTGATCTTTGTTAGACTCTTATTAGTAGTTCTGCTTTTTGCACTCAGAAGCATGTGACTTTTTACCTACTCCTTATTCTTACACCCCCTCCCCTTTTGAAACCCTTAATAAAAACTTGTTGGTCTGAGACTCAGGCAGACATCATGGTCCTACCGATATGTGATGTCACCCCTGGTGGCCCAGCTGTAAAATTCCTCTCTTTGTACTGTCTTTCTTTATTTCTCAGCTGGCCGACACTTATGGAAAATAGAAAGAACCTATGTTGAAATATTGGGGGTGGGTTCCCCCAATATACTGTAAGTTTCTCTCTGTGGGATGGTGATGGGGTTTTCCTCCAGCCAAATAATTTTCTGATTCTCCAACAGCAATTGGGAGTCCTAGGATTTGACTCAATTCTGACACTAACTACCTGGAGTTAGCCTCAGACTCCACAGGTTTAAGGACTCAGTCTCACAAGTCTGTCCTCACTTCAGATGCAAGTCACAAGTTATCGGGTTCCAGGTTACCTGCACTTCTGTCTATCATGGCTGCAAAGTCAGGGGTTTCTCACCTCCCAAGGTTTGGGAATTCTTAAACTAACTCAAAGAACTCAGGAAGTTGCTATAACCATGTAAACCAAAAAACATCTGAGACAGGTATCAATCAATTTAGAAGTTTATTTTGCCAAGCTGAAGATGTACCTTGGAAACAGAGACACAAATTATTGTAGCATCTGTGGCCCATGCTTTTTACTAAGAGGGTTTTGAGGACTTTAATATTTACAGGAGAAAGAGCAGGCAGGAGAGGAAAAAGGAACAGTCAACTATGCTTTCATCGAGTGCTCAGTAAATCTGCATTTTACATAAGACAAAGTAAATGTTGGGTAGAGAAGTCAAATACACATTTGTCTCCAGGTGAGTGGAGGGATGATTTCTGGTCTTGTCTTTGTCCTTCACCTGTGAAGATAAGCTGTTAATTTACATTGTTAGGGTGAAATTCAACAAAACTCTGTTTTAGAGTAAAGATGTTGGGGCCCACAAGGAATTATCTGGTGAGCAATTTGTGAGGGAGGCCACCTGGGGAGATATATGTTCCTCTATCTTTGCAGTTATTTGTTTAGGAACAAAAGAAAGGCGGTTTTTCCATCACTCAGTTACCAAACTTAACTTGTCCCTTTGGTATAGTGAATTTGGCGTCCCTAAATTTTATTTTTCTTTCACACTCAGTATTGTAGTTTATTATTGTTATAGCTTAAATCAGTGGTCCCAACTTTTTGGCACCAGGGACCAATTTCATGGAAGACAATTTTTCCATGGACCAGCAGAGGTGGCAGGGAATAGAGGGGAATGGATTGAGGATGAAACTGTTCCACCTCAGATGATCAGGCATTACTGTTTCATATGGAGCATGCAACCTAGATCCCTCACATGCAGAGTTCACAATAGGGTTCATGCTCTTATGAGAATCTAATTCCGCCACTGATCTGACAGGAGGCAGAGCTCAGGTGGTCATGCTCATGCTCTCTCACCCACCAGTGACCTCCTGCTGTGTGGTCTGGTTCCTGCCAAGCCAGGAACCTGTACCAGTCCACAGCCGGGGGTTACGGACTCTTGGTTTAAATTATGCCACTATAGTAGAACACCTGAGACTGGATAACTTAAAACGAACAGAAATTTATTTGGTTCATGGTTGTTGAGGATGGGAATTCCAAGACCAAGGACAGTACCTGGTAGAAAGCAAAAGGGCAAGAGAGGGTGAGAGGTAGGGGGAATAAGAGGTCAAACTCACAGCCTCAGGTCCTTTTATGATCAAACTTAATTCATTAATGGAGGCAGAGCTCTGATGGTCCAATCACCTCTCAAAGGTCCCACCTCTTAAAAATGTTGCATTCAGGATAAATTATCCAAGAGATGCTTTTCTAGGGAAACATTCAAACCATAGCAGTTATAAAGGGTACAAATGAGCAGCCAGATGAAGAGGTGCACAGGGTGTGGCCTGGGAGGGCTCTGAGCACAGGAGCCTCTGTCCCCATGGAGATGAGGTTCACCATCCTCCCAGCACATGGACACACGGATGTGCTCAGCAATTGGGAAGCTCTCCAAAACCCAATCTCTAGAGGTTTCTATGGAAGTTTCATTGTGTAGGCAAGATTAATTAAATCAATGGCCACTGGTGACTGAACTCAACTTCCAGCCCCCTTTGCTTCTCAGAGGTAAGGGATACTGCTGAAATTTCCAATCCTCTAATCACAGCTTCGTGTTTCTGGCAACCAGCCCCCATCCTGAAGCTATTTAGGAGCCCCTCACCCCATAGTCATCTCATTGGCATATTAAAGTCATACTTATCACTGAGGAGATTGCAAATGTTTTGGAACCTGCTTGTCAGGAAACAGGGAAAAAGACCAGATATTTTTATTGGGCCACAGATCACACCCTGGTCTTTGACCACATTATCTCTTTTTATAATATTTATTTATTTCAGAGACAAGGTCTTGCTCTGTTGCCCAGGGTAGAATGCAGTGGCACAATCATAGCTCATTGTAACCTTGAATTCCTGGGCTCAAGTGATCCTCCTGCCTCAGCCTCCTGAGCAATAGCATTACAGGTACACACCAGCATGCCCAACTAATTTTTTAAAGGTTTTGTAGGAATGGGGTCTCACTATTTTGCCCCAGTTGGTTTCAAACTCCTGGCCTTAAACAATCCTCCTACCATGGCCTCCGAAACTGATGGAATTACAAGTCTGAGCCACTGTGCCTGGCCAATCACAGATCTCCTATACCAGAAGAATCATAACAGTGAGAAGATCCTGGCACATTACCAGAATCCTTTTTGGTCATGAAAAATTATCCCAGGGGAGATCATTCCAAGATAGCCAAATAGGAACAGCTCCAGTCTACAGCTCCCAGCGTGAGCAGTGCAGAAGACGGGTGATTTCTGCATTTCCAACTGAGGTACTGGGTTCATCTCATTGGGACTTGTCACACAGTGAGTGTTGCCCACAGAATGTGAGCTGAAGCAGGGCAAGGCATTGCCTCACCAGGGAAGCACAAGGGCTCAGAGAATTCCCTTTCCTAGCCAAGGGAAGCCATGAGAGATGGTACCTGGAAAATCGGGACACTCCCACCCTAATACTGTGCTTTTCCAACAGTTGTAGTGAATGGCACACCAGGAGATTATATCCCATGCATGGCTCAGTGGGTCTCACACCCATGGAGCGTTGCTCACTGCTAGCACAGCAGTCCAAAATTGAACTGGGAGGTGACAGTGAGGCTGGGGGAGGGGCGTCTGCCATTGCTGAGGCTTGACTAGGTAAACAAAGTGGCAGGAAGCTCAAACTAGGTGGAGCCCACTGCAGCTCAACAAGGCCTGTCTGCCTCTGTAGACTCCACCTCTGGGGGCAGGGCATAGCTGAACAAAAGGCAGCAGAAACTTCTGCAGACTTAAATGTCCCAGTCTGACAGCTTTGAAGAGAGCAGTGGTTCTGCCAGCATGGAGTTTGAGATCTGAGAACGGACAGAGTGCCTCCTCAAGTGGGTCGCTGACCTCTGAGTAGCCTAACTGGGAGACACCTCCCAGTAGGGACCGAATGACACCTCATACGGCCGGGTGCCCCTCTGAGACGAAACTTCCAGAGGAAGGATCAGGCAGCAACATTTGCTGTTCTGCAATATTTGCTGTTCTGAAGCCTCTGCTAGTGTTACCCAGGCAAACAGGGTCTGGAGTGGACCTCCAGCAAACTCCAATAGACCTGCAGCTGAGGGTCCCGACTGTTAGAATGAAAACTAACAAACAGAAGGAATAACATCAACAAAAGGGACATCTACACCAAAACCCCATCTGTAGGTCACCATCATCAAAGACCAAAGGTAGATAAAACCACAAAGATGGGGAGAAACCAGAGCAGAAAAGCTAAAAATTCTAAAAATCAGAGCACCTGTTCTCCTCCAAAAGATCGCAACTCCTCCCTAGCAATGGAACAAAGCTGGATGGAGAATGACTTTGACAAGTTGACAGAAGTAGACTTCAGAAGATTGGTAATAACAAACTTCTCTGAGCTAAAGGAGGATGTTCGAACCCATCGCAAGGAAGCTAAAAACCTTGAAAAAAGATTAGATGAATAGTTAGCTAAAATAAACAGCATAGAGAAGAACTTAAATGACCTGATGGAGCTGAAAACCATGGCATGAGAACTACATGACGCATGCACAAGCTTCAGTAACCAATTCGATCAAGTGGAAGAAAGGGTATCGGTGATTGAAGATCAAATGAATGAAATGAAGCAAGCAGAGAAGTTGAGAGAAAAAAGAGTAAAAAGAAATGAACAAAGCCTCCAAGAAATATGGGACTATGTGAAAAGACCAAATCTACATTTGATTGGTGTACCTGAAAATGACAGAGAGAATGGAACCAAGTTGGAAAACACTTTTCAGGATATTATCCAGGAGAACTTCCCCAACCTAGCAAGGCAGGCCAACATTCAAATTCGTGAAATACAGAGAACGCCACAAAGATACTCCTCAAGAAGAGCAACCCAAAGACACATAATTGTCAGATTCAATAAGGTTGAAATGAGGGAAAAAATGTTAAGGGCAGCCAGAGAGAAAGGTCAGGTTACCCACAAAGGGAAGCCCATCAGACTAACAGTGGATCTCTTGGCAGAAACTCTACAAGCCAGAAGCAAGTGGGGGCCAATATTCAACATTCTTAAAGAAAAGAATTTTCAACCCAGAATTTCATAACCAGCCAAACTAAGCTTCATAAGTGAAGGAGAAATAAGAGCCTTTACAGACAAGCAAATGCTGAGAGGTTTTGTCACCACCAGGCCTGCCTTACAAGAGCTCCTGAAGGAAGCACTAACATGGAAAGGAACAACCAGTACCAGCCACTGCAAAAATATGCCAAATTGTAAAGACTATCGATGCTAGGAAGAAACTGCATCAACTAACGGGCAAAATAACCAGCTAACATCATAACGATAGGGTCAAATTCACACATAACAATATTAACCTTAAATGTAAATGGGCTAAATGCCCCAATTAGAAGACACAGACTGGCAAATTGGATAAAGAGTCAAGACCCATCAGTGTGCTGTATTCAGGAAACCCATCTCACGTGCAGAGACACACATAGGCTCAAAATAAAGGAATGGAGGAAGATCTACCAGGCAAATGGAAAACAAAAAAAGCAGGGGTTGCAATCCTAGTCTCTGATAAAACAGACTTTAAACCAACAAAGATCAAAAGAGACAAAGAAGGCCATTACGTAATGGTAAAGGAATCAATTCAACAAGAAGAGCTAACTATCCTAAATATATATGCACCCAATACAGGAGCACCCAGATTCATAAAGCAAGTCCTTAGAGAACTACAAAAAGACTTAGACTCCCACACAATAATAATGGGAGACTTTAACACCCCACTGTCAACATTAGACAGATCAACGAGACAGAAAGTTAACAAGGATATCCAGGACTTGAACTCAGCTCTGCACCAGGCAGACCTAATAGACATCGACAGAACTCTCCACCCCAAATCAACAGAAAATACCTTCTTCTCAGCACCATATCACACTTATTCCAAAATTGACCACATAGTTGGAAGTAAAGCACTCCTCAGCAAATGTAAAAGAATAGAAATTATAACAAACTGTCTCTCAGACCACAGTGCAATCAAATTAGAACTCAGGATTAAGAAACTCACTCAAAACCACTCAACTACATGGAAACTGAACAACCTGCTCCTGAATGACTACTGGGTACATAACGAAATGAAGGTAGAAATAAAGATGTTCTTTGAAACCAATGAGAACAAAGACACAACATACCAGAATCTCTGGGACACATTTAAAGCAGTGTGTAGAGGGAAATTTGTAGCACTAAATGCCTGCAAGAAAAAGCAGGAAAGATCTAAAATCGACAGCCTAACATCACAATTAAAAGAACTGGAGAAGCAAGAGCAAACACATTCAAAAGCTAGCAGGAGACAAGAAATAACTAAGATTAGAGCAGAATTGAAGAAGATAGAGACACAAAAAACCCTTCAAAAAATCAATGAATCCAGCAGCTGGTTTTTTTGGAAAGATCAACAAAATTGATAGACCGTTAGCAAGACTAATAAAGAAGAAAAGAGAGAAGAATCAAATAGACACAATAAAAAATGATAAAGGGGATATCACCACCAATCCCACAGAAATACAAACTACCATCAGAGAATACTATAAACATCTCTATGCAAATAATCTAGAAAATCTAGAAGAAATGGATAAATTCCTGGACACATACACCCTCCCAAGACTAAACCAGGAAGAAGTTGAATCCCTGAATAGACCAATAATAGGCTCTGAAATTGAGGCAATAATTAATAGCCTACCAACCAAAAAAAGTCCAGGACCAGATGGATTCACAGCCAAATTCTAACAGAGGTACAAAGAGGAGCTGGTACCATTCCTTCTGAAAATATTCCAATCAATAGAAAAAGAGGGAATCCTCCCTAACTTATTTTATGAGGTTGGCATCATCCTGATACCAAAGCCTGGCAGAGACACAACAAAAAAAAGAGAATTTTAGACCAATATCCCTGATGAACATGGATGCAAAAATCCTCAGTAAAACACTGGCAAACCGAATCCAGCAGCACATCAAAAAGCTTATCCACCATGATCAAGTGGGCTTCATCCCTGGGATGCAAGGCTGGTTCAACATACACAAATCAATAAACATAATCCAGCATATAAACAGAACCAAAGACAAAAACCACATGATTATTTCAATAGATGCCAAAAAGACCTTCAACAAAATTCCACAGCCCTTCATGCCAAAAACTCTCAATAAACTAGGTATTGATGGGACGTATCTCAAAATAATAAGAGCTATTTATGACAAACCCACAGCCAATATCATACTGAATGGGCAAAAACTGGAAGCATTCCCTTTGAAAACTGGCACAAGACAGGGATGCCCTCTCTCACCACTCCTACTCAACATAGTGTTGGAAATTCTGGCCAGGGCAATCAGACAAGAGAAAGAAATAAAGGGTATTCAATTAGGAAAAGAGGAAGTCAAATTGTCCCTGTTTGCAGATGACATGATTGGATGTTTAGAAAACCCCATCATCTCAGCCCAAAATCTCCTTAAGCTGATAAGCAACTTCAGCAAAGTCTCAGGATACAAAATCCATGTGCAAAAATCACAAGTATTCCTATACACCAATAACAGACAAACAGAGAGCCAAATCATGAGTGAACTCCCATTCACAATTGCTTCAAAGAGAATAAAATACCTAGGAATCCAACTTACAAGGGATGTGAAGGACCTCTTCAAGGAGAACTACAAACCACTACTCAACGAAATAAAAGAGGACATAAACAAATGGAAGAACATTCCATGCTCATGAATAGGAAGAATCAATGTCGTGAAAATGGCCATACTGCCCAAGGTAATTTATAGATTTAATGCCATCCCCATCAAGCTACCAATGACTTTCTTCACAGAATTGGAAAAAACTACTTTAAAGTTCATATGGAACCAAAAAAGAGCCTGCATTGTCAAGACAATCCTAAGCCAAAAGAACAAAGCTGGAGGCATCACGCTACCTGACTTCAAACTATATTACAAGGCTACAGTAACAAAAACAGCATGGTACTGGAACCAAAACAGAGATATAGACCAATGGAACAGAACAGAGCCCTCAGAAATAATATCACACATCTACAACTATCTGATCTTTGACAAACCTGACAAAAACAAGAAATGGGGAAAGGATTCCCTATTTAATAAATGGTGCTGGGAAAACTGGCTAGCCATAGTAGAAAGCTGAAACTGGATCCCTTCCTTAGACCTTATACAAAAATTAATTCAAGATGGATTAAAGACTTAAATGTTCGACCTAAAATCATAAAAACCCTAGAAGAAAACCTAGGCAATACCATTCAGGACATAGACATGGGCAAGGACTTCATGACTGAAACACCAAAAGCAATAGCAACAAAAGCCAAAATTGACAAATGGGATTTAATTAAACTAAAGAGCTTCTGCACAGCAAAAGAAACTACCATCAGAGTGAACAGGCAACCTACAGAATGGGAGAAAATTTTTGTAATCTACCCATCTGACAAAGGACTAATATCCAGAATCTACAAAGAACTTAAACAAATTTACAAGAAAAAATCAAACAACCCCATCAAAAAGTGGGCAAAGGATATGAACAGACACTTCTCAAAAGAAGACATCTATGCAGCCAACAGACACATGAAAAAATGCTCATCATCACTGGTCATCAAAGAAATGCAAATCAAAACCAAAAGGAGATACTATCTCACACCAGTTAGAATGGCAATCATTAAAAAGTCAGGAAACCACAGGTGCTGGAGAGCATGTGGAGAAATAGGAACACTTTTACACTGTTGGTGGGAGTGTAAGCTAGTTCAACCATTGTGGAAGACAGTGTGGCAATTCCTCAAGGATCTAGAACTAGAAATACCATTTGACCCAGCCATCCCATTACTGGGTATATACCCAAAGGATTATAAATCATGCTACTATAAATGCACATGTATGTTTATTGCACTATTCACAATAGAAAATACTTGGAACCAACCCAAATGTCCATCAGTGATAGACTGGATTAAGAAAATGTGGCACATAAGCCGGGTGCAGTGGCTCATACCTGTAATCCCAGCACTTTGGGAGGCTGAGGTGGGTGGATCACGAGGTCAGGAGATCAAGACCATCCTGCCTAATACAGTGAAAACCCGTCTGTACTAAAAATACAAAAAAATTAGCTGGTCATGGTGGCGGGTGCCTATAGTCCCAGCTACTTGGGAGGCTGAGGCAGGAGAATGGCATGAACCCAGGAGGCAGAGCTTGCAGTGAGCGAGATCGCACCACTGCACTCCAGCCTGGGCGACAGAGCGAGACTCCATCTCAAAAAGAAAAAAGAAAAAAAGAAAATGTGTCACAAATACACCATGGAATACTATGCAGCCATAAAAAAGGATGAGTTCATGTCCTTTGCAGGGATGTGGATGAAGCTGGAAACCATCATTCTGAGCAAACTATCACAAGGACAGAAAACCAAACACTGCATGTTCTCACCCATAGGTGGGAATTGAACAATCAGAACACTTGAACTCAGGGTGGGGAATATCACACACCAGGGCCTGTCATGGGGTGGGGACAGGGGGGAGGGATAGCATTAGGAGAAATATCTAATGCAAATGACGAGTTAATGGGTGCAGCACACCAACATGGCACATGTACACATAGGTAACAAACCTGCATGTTGTGCACATGTACCCTAGAACTTAAAGTATAATAAAAAAAAATTATCCCGGTGCAGCCCCAAAACAGAAGTAGTCTCAGCAACATAAGGCTGCACCCGTTCAGGCATTTGGTAAAATTGAGTTAAGAGACAATATCATCTCTTGCTTATATCTCTTTTGAGTAGTTCATGTAACATTGGATTTTCCTCATTGCATAACCCATTTATTCATTCATTTACCCTCAGCTACTATTTCTCCTTCTCTTCATTTATACCAAACATTTCTAGTTATGGAAGGGACATGAAGTTCTGCTGCTGTGCTGACCTAGACTGCACGGACCAATACTGTTCTAGCAATTGTCTTGCATCATCCATTCCAGTTCATAGAGGGTAGGGTTATGCAGTAGAGAACTGGTTGGCTAGCTGACCCCAGGCAATACAGCTGCATTCAGTGTTAACCCCAACTTTGCCAGATGCACTGAAGGCACAACCTACTTCTCCAGACCCTTAGGAATCATTACATAATGGACACAAAATATATTTACAGTTTCTTGCTTAGGAATAATTCCTGTTTCTGGACTTTTATTTGCATCCCTAGTCCTGAGACCACTGCATCAGGTATGAGAAAAGCAAGTTGAGGTAAAGTACAGTCATCATTCCAGTGTCCTCCCACCTTGGGAAGGATTGTATATAGATCACACCAGCACCTTCCCCTGATCCACAAGGAAAAGAGAGGATACTTTCATATCAAGTGTAAGCACACTCATGAAGGTGTGTAAGCCCACCCTTCATGCTTGTTTCCCCACTCTTGCTTTATACAACCAATGTTTCAATGGAATATTTTAATTCTTTATGGAACTCTTCCTCTGAGAAGGATGTCTTTCTGGAATTTTGAGCAAGCGCATTTTCTGGTGTAAAGAAATGTGACTCAGTGGTCCACATGGTTGCAGTACCTCCCATTCAAGCTCTTAGTAGCACTCTGAGCATTTGCATCTGAGATAAAGCAGGGACCTCTCTTAGAAGCCTGCCAGGGCCTCCCAACATGGAAATAAAGAAAAACCTTCAGTTCCTTCAAAAGAAATTCCAGGCACCTAGCCAGCCCTAAAAAGTAAGTGAGTGACCTTATAAACAAGAAGGTAATGATAGCTTAAAACGATAGCCAAGGAAGTTAGAGTCACAAGATGTTGGATTCTCTATGGAAACTAAAGAGAACATCTTAATATATGTCCCTGAGTTGTTTTTCAGAAACTCAGATTCCCACCTAATAGATCCACTGACAGGAAGACCTCAGATAAGGGGAAACTGAGGACTGAACTCTGACCACTGTTCTTTGTTCTAAATTTCTTCCTGAGGGGCCTGGAGAGAGTAAAGCCCACAGGCCAGGCCTGAACATTCCTCTCTACTGCCCCCAACTGTGTAAGGAAGCTTTGCTTCCTTATGAATCACAAATCAGAGAATCTTTATCTCTATCTACGACTTGTAAGCTCCCTCATCAGGATATTCCTCCTTTTAAGGCCAAACCAGTGTGTAACTTCTATGCATTGATTTATGATGTTGCCTATAACTCTGCTTTCCTGAAATTTACCCCTATCTTTAAGAAACCTTGCTTGTGAGCCATTGAGGAGGTTGGGTCTTAACTGTGAGCTGGCTGATTCTCCTTGCTTGGCACCCTACAAATAAATGCCCTCCTTTATCTCACTACAAAATCTCAGTATGGATGTTTGTTTTTACTGCCCCTGGTGAGTGGACTCCAGTTCTGTTTGGTAACACATCTACCAGCAGCTGAGCAATGCCCAGCTCCAGGGTGCGTATCTATTGCTGCCAAGACCCATTTGCTGCTTCCTGGGGCTACTGGTATCAGTGTAACTTGCCAGCTCTGTATTTTCAAGATCTTCCCATAAAAGAATCTGCCACATAGCCATATGCTATCTCTGTCTCTCTCTCTTTTTTTTTGTTAAAGAAAACACTTATATGTATTTTGTGCCTGTGATGTGGGGAATGCAAGAGGAATATGCCTTGATTCCATCTCTCTCTGCATTGCTACAGCCCCAGTGTCTACTTATTTCATGGACCCAGGGGATCACCACAAGCAAACGTGGATTTTTTTTAGATGTGGTCTTGATATCTTTCTCTGGCTGGACTCAAGTGCTGCTCAGGCCAAACTCTAACTCCTGGACTCAAGATATCCTTCTGCCTCAGCTGTTGTCATAGCTGGAATTACAGGTGCACCTGGCAAACACTTGGAGATAAATGCTTGTTTATTTCAATCACCTTCCAAACCTGGAAGGGAGTTATTCTGATGGGCATTGATGGGCACTGAGGGGACGGTGCTAAACCATTCATGAGAAACTGCCCCCGTGATCCAATCACCTCCCTGCAGGTCCCACCTCTAATGCTGGGGATTCCATCCAACATGAGATTCGGGCAAGAACAACATCCACTCTATATCAGGCATCAACGTGTCTTACATTAATGAACCTCTCAAATTACCATCGTGATTTCCATAGGACTGTGTCTCATTTGGGCACTCTTTTCATCAGCAAGTTTTCCTTTGCTTTCCTGATTAATTATATGGCCAGGCCATTAGTCACTGCCTGTAAGTCAATAAAAACTAAAACATAGGAGCTTTATTATTGTTCAATTCTTCCACTACTGCTGAGAAACACCCTGCAATTCAGCCCACAAGAGTTGTTCTGTTTTTATCTTCTTCGATCAAAGCGGTGGACTTCCAAACAGGATGTTGTCCATTCATCTTCCAAATGCTGTACACAAACCAACCAGCTGTTTGAGATCAGTTGACGGATATTGCAGTTCAAATCCCAGCGCTGTCTGCTGCAGAGTTCCATCTTGCTCAGAGAAGGTCAATGTTTTGTTCAATTTACACCTTCAATGAATTGAATGAAGCCCACCCACATTATAGAGATCAATCTACTTTACTCAAAGTCTAGTTATTTTGCATTAATGTTATCCAAGAAACATTCTCACAAATCATCCAGAATAATGCTTGATCACCTATCTGGGCACTGTGGTTCAGCCAAGATGACAAATAAAATTAATTATGACATTCTTCAATTTAAGAATATTCTGAGGAAATTAGCCTTTGTCCTAATAAAACAAGGAACAAACAACTGTTTCTAAAAATTTTCAACCAACAGTCAAAAAGCCATTCCTATAGATTGTTGCTCAAGTTCATTCTATAACTGTGGGTGAAAAAAACATGTATTTGTTGAAAACAGAAGGAGAGAAAAATGAATAAGCAGAAAGTAAAAAAAAAGACATGAGAATAATAATAAAGATGACAGCCGTTATTTCACTGGAAACAATGCAAATGAGAAGACAGATGAGCAACATCTTTAAAGTCCTAAAAGGAAAATACTGTGAAACTAGATTCTATTCCCAGAAAATAATACCTTTCTAAAACATATATATGTATAATTTAAATTGACAAATCATAATACATTCATGAGATGTTGTGTGATGTACTGATATATGTATACCATGTGTAATGATTAAATCAAACTAATTAACCAATTAACATACCATGAATATAGCTATCGAAAAATAGATTTTAGTTATATAGGGAGTGAAAAAGGTTATAACTAGCAGATCTAAACTATAATAAATGTTTCAGTCCTTCAGGCAAAAAGAAAATTAAGGGACTAGTTGGCACAGCATTTAGTGATGAAAAGACAGCTTCATTTCCTTTTTCCACTGAGACAGAGAACACAGCCCAGGGTCCTGGGAATTGCTCAACCCAATCCACCACGGTGGACACCTGAGAACTCCTCCTGGGTAACCGAGGTTGGGTGCTATCACCTTAGCTGTCACCTACCTGCAAACACCACCTATGGGCATTCCACCCAGCCTATCATAGCTACTGCTAACATTAATGCACACTTTTTGGGACCAGTAGTTCTCCTTGCAGACATCTTTTACCTCCCAAATTAGCATTATTCCTAGGTATTGTATTCTTTTTGTGGCAATTGTGAGTGGGAGTTCATTCCTGCTTTGGCTCTTGGCTTGCCTGTTGTCAGTGTGTAGAAATGCTAGTAATTTTTGCACATTGATTTTGTATCTTGAGAATTTGCTGAAGTTGTTTATCAGCTTAAGAAGCTTTTGGACTGAGGCTATGGGTTTTTCTAGTTATAGAATCATGTCATCTGCAAACAGGAATCATTTGAATTCCTCTCGTCCTATTTGAACATCCTTCTTTTTTTTTTTTTTTTTTTTTAATTTCACTTGCCTGATTGCCCTGGTCAGAATTTCCGATACTGTGTTGAACAGGAGCAGTGAGAGAAGGCATCCTTGTCTTGTGCTGATTTCAAGGAGAATGCTTCTAGTTTTGCCCATTCAGTATGAAGTTGGCTGTGGGTTTGTCATAGATGGCTTTTATTGTTTTGAGGTATATTCCTTGAACACCTAGTTTATTGAGAGTTTTTTTAAAAACATGAATAGAGTTTGAATTTTATCAAAAGCCTTTTCTTCATCAACTGAGACAATCATGTAGTTTTTGTCTTTAGTTCTGTTTACGTGATGAATCACATTTATTGATTTGCATATGTTGAACTAACCTTGCATCCTGGCGATGAAGCCTACTTGATTGTGGTGGATAAGGTTTTTGATGTGCTGCAGGATTCGGTTTGCCAGCATTTTGTTGGAGATTTTTGCATTAATGTTCATCAAGAATACTGGCCTGATGTTTTCTCTTGTTTGTTGTTGTTGTATCTCTGCCACATTTTGGTATCAGGATGATGCTGGCCTAATAGAATGAGTTAGGGAGGAGTCTCTCCTCCTCATTTTTTGGGAATAGTTTCAATAGGAATGGTACCATCTCTTCTTTGTACATCCAGTAGAATTCACCTGTCAATCATCTGGTCCTGCACTTTTTTTTTTTTTTTTGGTAGGCTCTTCATTACTGCCTCAAGTTCAGAACTCATTATTTTTTCAGAGATTGCATTTCTTCCTGGTTCAGTCTTGGGGGCGGTGTATGTGTCCAGGAATTTATCCATTTCTTCTAGATTTTCTAGTTTATGCGCATAGAAGTGTTCATAATATTTTCTGGTGGTTTCTTGTATTTCTGTGGGGTCAGTGGTAATGTTCCTCTTATTGTTTCTGATTGTGTTTATTGGAATTTTCTCTCTTTTCTTCTTTATTAGCTTAGCTAGTGGTCTATTTTATTAATTTCTTTTAAAAAACCTCCTGAATTTATTGATCCTTCAAATGGTTTTTTGTGTCTCTGTCTCCTTCAGGAGACAATACTTTTGTTAATTTTTTTTGTTATTTCTTGTCTTCTGCTAGCTTCGGGATATGTTTGCTCTTCATTCTTAAGTTCTTTTAGGTTTGATTTTAGGTTGTTGACTTGAGATCTTTCTAACTTTTTGATGTGGGCATTTACTGCTATAAATTTCCCTCTTAACACTGCCTTAGCTGTTTCCCAGAGGTTCTGGTACATTGTATCTTTTTTCTCATTAGTTTCAAAGAACTTCTTGATTTCTACCTGAATTTCATTATTTACTAAAAGTCATTCAAGAACAGGTTATTTAATTTCTAAGTAATTATATGGTTTTAGTGAATTTCTTATTCTTGATTTTGAATTTGATTGCACTGTAGTCTGAGAGACTATTTGTTATGATTTCAGTTCTTTTGCATTTGCTGAGGAGTGTTTTACTTCTGATTGCGTGATTGATTTTAGAGTAAGTGCCATGTAGCAATGAGAAAAATGTATATTCTGTTGTTCTGGGGTCTGGAGTTCTGTAAATATCTATCAGGTCCATTTGCTCCAGGGCTGAATTCAGGTCCTGAATATCTTTGTTAATTTTCTGTCTTGATGATCTGTCTAATATTGTCAGTGGGGTATTAAAGTCCACCACTTCTACTGTGTGAGGTTCTAAATCTCTTTGACGGTCTCTAAGAACCTGCCTTATAAATCTGGGTGTTCCTCTATTGGATGCATATATATTTAGGATAGTTAGATCTCTTCATTGAATTGAACCCTTTACCATTATGTAATGCCCACCTTTATCTTTTTTTATCTTTCTTGGTTTAAAGTCTGTGTTGTCAGAAACTAGGATTGCAACCCTGGCTTTCTTCCGCTTTCCATTTGCTTGGAAAATTTTCCTCCATCTCTTTATTTTGTGCCTATGTGTGTCATTGAATGTAAGATGAGTGTATTGTAGGCAGCATACTGATAGGTCTTGGTTCTTTATCCAGCTTGCCCTTCTGTGTCTTTTAAATGTGGCATTTAGCCCATTTACATTTAAGGTTAGTATTGATATGTATGGATTTGATCCTGTCATCATGGTGTTAGCTGGTTACTTTGCAGACTTGCTTATGTGGTTGCTTTATTGCGTCACTGGTCTATGTACTTCAGCGTGTTTTTGTAGTGGCTGGTAACTGTCTTTCCTTTCCATATTTAGTGCTTCTTTTAGGAGTTCTTGTAATGCAGGTCTGGTGGTAATGAATTCCCTTGGCATTTGTTTGTCTGAAAAGAATTTTATTTCTTTTTTGCTTATGAAGCTTAGTTTGGCTGGATATGAAATTGTGGGTTGGAAATTCTTTTCTTTAACAATGTTCAATACTGGCCCTCAATCTCTTCTGGTGTGTAGGGTTTCCACTTGGAGGTCCACTGTTAGTCTAATGGGCTTCCCTTTGTAGGTGACCTGGCCTTTCTCTCTGGCTGCCCTTAACGTTCTTTCTTTCATTTCAACCATGGAGAATCTGATGATTGTATCTTGGGGATGATCTTCTCATGGAGTAACTTACTAGTGTCCTCTGCATTTCTGAATTTGAATGTTGGTCTGTCTAGCTAGGTTGGGAAAGTTCTCATGGATGATATCTTGAAGTGTGTTCCAAATTGATTCCATTATTCCCATCTCTTTCAGGTATACCAATAATTCATGGATTCAGTTTCTTTACATAATCTGATGTTTCTCAGAGGTTTTGTTTGTTCCTTTTCATTCTGTTTTCTCTATTCTTGTCTTCCTGTCTTATTTTAGAAAGCTGGTCTTCAAGCACTGAGAGTCTTTCCTCCACTTGTTCTATTCTGCTGTTAATACTTGTGAGTGCACTATGAAATTCTTTTAGTGTGTTTTTCAGCTTTATCAGGTTGGTTTCATTCTTCTATAATACTGGCTATTTTGTCTGTCAGCTCCTGCAATGTTTTATCATTATTTTTAGCTTCCTTGGATTGGGTCACACTGTACTCCTTTAGCACAGTGAACTTCTTCCCTCTCCATATTCTGAATTCTACTTCTGCTCTTTCAGTCATCTCAGCTTTAGCCTGGTTCCAAACCCTTGCTGGCTTTTTGAGTTTTCAGCATTGTTGTGCTGATTCTTTCTCATCTTAGTGGGCTTATCTACCTTCATTCTTTGAGGTTGCTGATCTATGAATGGGTTTTGTTTTTCTCTTCTTTTGTTTTCTCTTTCAACAGTCTGGCCACTTTTCTGTAGGGCTACTGCAGTTTGCTGAGGGCCTGCTCCAGTCCCCAGTTGCCTCAGATTTTCCAGTAACTGGAGATATCACCAGTGAAAGCTACATAACAGCAAAGATGGTAGTCTGCCTTTTCCTTTGGGAGCTCTGTCTCAGGAAAGTACAGACCTGTTGCCAGCCCAAACACACCTGTAGGAGGTACTGGAGACCCTGGTTGGGAGGTCTTGTCCAGTCACGAGGAATAGGATCAGGATCTAGAGGTTTACCAAAGGGAGGAATACTCCCTCAGGAGACACAGAAATTATTCCATTGAGCTGGAAGCTAAGACACCCACCCGGGCCCTTCAGCTCCTCATGTTACTGAATCAACAGACAAAGGAAGGAGTTACTGCACTTTCTGGGGTGATTGGTCCTGGTCATCAGGGGGAAATTGGTCTGCTACTACACAATGGCAGTAAATAAGACTATGTTTGAAATACAGGAGATCTTTTAGAGCATCTCTTAGTAATACTCTGCTCTATAATTAAAGTCAATAAAAACTACAACAACCCAAGTCAGGCAGGACTACTAATGACCCATGCCCTTCAGGAATGAAGGTATGAGTCACCCAAGCAGGAAAAGAAACCTGATCAGCTGACGGACTTGCTGAAGGCAGTGGGACTATGGGATGGTTAGTGAAAGAAAGCTATTTACACTAGTTGTGGCCAGCACAGTGGCTCATGCCTATAACCCCAGCACTTTGGGAGGCTGAGGCAGGTGGATTCCTTAAGTTGAGGAATGTGAGACCAACCTGGGCAACATGCTGAAATTCCATCTCTACTGAAAATACATACAAAAAATTAGTCAGACTTGGTGGTGTGCTTGCAGTCCCAGCTACTTAGGAGGTTGAGGTAGAAGGATCACTTGTGCCCAGGAGGTGGAGTTTGCAGTGAGCCAAGGTAATGCCACTGCACTCCAGCCTGGGCAACAGAACAAGACCCTGTATCAAATAAATAAATAAGTAAATAAATAAATAAATAACCAGCTGTAACCATGTGATCAGTTGCAGAAATAAAGACAGTAAATGTTATAAGCATTTCTTCCTTATGTTTTTACAATGATATTTATGTCTGTGTGTATGTACCCATACATGTACTAAGCAAATACCTTTGTTTTCATCTTTTCCTTATCATCTTGTAATAAAACATAAAATGTGCTAATAATAGTTCCCTTTTATTAATGATGGTTCAACTTTTTTTAAACATGGTGTTTAGGTTACAGTATATCGAAGAGAAAAATGCTTATCATGCATTGAGTTTGAATTTTTTTCTGAGGAAATGGTTAGTGTTTTTAGATGGATGCAAGATAGCTGTATCATCTTTAGCAAAAGTATGACTTTATAATTGTTTTTATTTGGAGACTAAGTATGGTTTAAGAAAACGTTAATGGGTGCCAAGTTCACAAGCATGGACTAGGGTGGTGGGTATTATGTGTCAATTTTACTAAACCATAGTGTCTAGTTATTTAATCAAACACTAATTTATATGTTGCTATGATGGTGTTTTGCACTTGTGGTTAAAATCTTATGTCAGTTGATTTTATGAAAAAGAAATTACCCTCAAAAATGTGGGCGGGACTTTTTGAATCAGTTGAAGGCCTTTGGGCAAAGTGTGAGGCTTCTCAAAGAAGAAAAAATTCTGCCTCAAGATGACAGTAGCAACTACAGTTTAGATTTCCAATCTGCCAGCCTGGTTTACAAATTTTAGACTGAAGACTGCAACATTGTGACTTTCCAGCCTGCTAGCCTGCAGAGGAGTAATTTGTGACATCAATAATGTAAAATGAGGGGTGGAAAAAGATGTAAAGAAGCAGAGTTTCATACTGGTTTCAATTCAAAATTGTTATAGTTGTATTGTTATGTGCAATACCATAGTAATCACAAAGAAAATATACATAAAATATACACAAAAGAAAGTGAGAAGGCAATTAAAACATATCACTAGAAAAAAATCGACTAAACACAAAGGAAGGTTGGAATGAGGAAGATAAGGGACGAAACAGCTATAAGACATGCATAAAACCATCACAATTACAGAGGTAAGTCCTTCTTCATCAGTAATTACTTTAAATGTAATGGATTAAACTCCCCAATCAGAATTGAGATTATCACAATGGATATAATAAAAAGATTCTAACCATATGCTGGCTACAAGATACTCACTTTGGATCTAAGGACGCATACAAGTTGAAAATGAAAGGATGGAAAAGGATATTCCTGAAAATAGTAACTAAGAATTTTTAATGATCTCTCATAGGGTTCTATGTGTTGGCTGGGCTCAGATGATGGCCTTGGAGTTTAACATGGTTCAGGGATTGAAGTGGAAGGAACCAGATGCAGGCAGGATGGTTAACAGCAGTGCCCAGAACTGACACAACCACGTTTCTGCCCTATTTTATTGGCTAACGCAGATATCAGATCTGCTCATGTTTAAGGGGATGGAAAGAACTTACCTCTTGATGAGGGAGTGGTGGATCAAACTAAAGAAAACAAAGTGTGATGGAAGATACTTCTGCAGCCGTCTTTGGAAAATACATACAATCCAAAACATCCTATCGGCCAGAAAGGAAGAACACCATCACGCCTTACCCCTCCAGTCTAAGCCCTGTGATTCTGTAGTATCCTGGGGAAGGACCATGTCTTAGGAAGCAGATGCGGAGTCAAAGCTCTAAATAAAACCCCATCTACAGCCACAATTTCACTTTATTTTGATGAAATTTTGTGTCATTTTCGATAAAATGGGGGCTCACAAATCTCTCTTCAGGGATCTCTCCAGTGGCGGGGATGATATGCTTCCTTCTCCACAGTTCTACTTTACAGATAAGTGGATCTAGGTCTCAGTTTCAGTTATTTAAAACACCAGAGACTTGGATGCATGCATGTCACAAAAAGGTGAAAGAATGCTCTGTCACTTTCCCTTCTCTCGCTCACTGCGCCCTGAACAAGAACCTGCTCTACCTTGACCTTTTGAATGGGGAGGAGGGTCGCACTCCTGACTAAGCTTCATGCTTCCAGAGATAAACCTGCTACCCCAAAAGCATAGTTTATTATAAAGACCAAACCCTACACCAAGAGCTCTCCCTTCACCTACCAGGGCAGAAACTGAATCCCATGGAAAGGCCCAGAGAAATTGTGGCTCAAAATGTCCAGTGTCATGTCCCTTCTGCCAAAATGAAGCCAACATGTTCATCACAATATGGGGTATTGATAAGGATATCAAAATGATTACCACAAAAATTTCACAAATATATTCTTTTTATTACATCAACTTTTTTGTCCTACAAATATAAAGAAAATAAGCCTGCATAGCAGGAGAAGTTTTTCCTCTGGGAGAGAATCCTCTTCCCAATGAAAAAGCTGGAGCCAGAATCACTAGAATGGAGCAAACTTTCAGGAATGACACAGCACTGCGTCTTGGGGCAGCCAGAGTTAGGGAGGGCTCACCTTCTGCGTGACACCAACCTTTGGCTGTCTTTTTTTTTTGTTCTCACTGCAAGAACAAAATTTCAGAGTATTAAGAGACAGAGTTAAGCCAAAGAGATTTACTCTGTTTTACTCTTTAGAAAACGCAATCTCGGCCAGGAGCGGTAGCTGGCGCCTGTAATCCCAGCATTTTGGGAGGCCGAGGTGAATAGATCACCTAAGGTCAGGAGTATGAGACCAGCCTGGCCAACATGGTGAAACCCCATCTCTACTAAAAATACAAAAATTAGCTGGGCGTGGTGGCAGGCATCTGTAATCCCAGCTACTCGGGAAGCTGAGACAGGAGAAATGCTTGAACCTGGGAAGCGGAGGTTGCAGTGAGCCGAGATCGTGCCACTGCACTCCAGCCTGGGTGACAGAACAAGGCTCCATCTCAATAAAAGAAAAGAAAACAAAAGAAAGAGAAGAAAGAAAAAGAAAGAAAGAAAGAAAAAAGGAAGGAAGGAAGGAAGGAAGGAAGGAAGGAAGGAAGGAAGGAAGGAAGGAAGGAAGGAAGGAAAAGGAGTCTCCAGGTTAATCCAGACTGTTATGGGCTAAATTGCATCTCTCCAAAAATTGGCATGTTGGTGTCCTAACCCCCAGTACCTGAGAAAGTGACTGCATTTGGAGAGGTCTTTAAGGAGGTCATTAAGGTAAAATGAGGTCATATGAGTGGGTCTTAATTCAATGTGACTAGTGTCCTTATAAAAAGAGAAGATTAGACATAGACTGATGCAGAGGAATGACCATGTAAAGACACAGGGAAAACACATCTACAAGCCAAGGAAAGAAGCCTCAGAAGAAATGTGCACTGCCAACACCAAGATCTTGGACTTCCAGCCTCTGGAACTGTGGCACAATAATTTTTCTGTTCTTTACGTCACCCAGTGTGTGGTACTTTGTTATGGCAGCCCTAGCAAATTAAAACAAACATATTACCCTGCCTAGTATCTGGACATGAAATTTTTTCAAGATTATGAATTATCAGGGATTTCTAAGAAATGAGTGAATCAATTGAAAATTGACAAGTGTAGATGATAAAGGGTCATTTACAAACCACTTTGGGTCCCATGGTCACCACTCAAAAATGGAGATATCCCCATTTCTTTTCAGTTTTACTCAGAACAAAGCTTGTGGTTCCAATCTGATATATAATCACCATCTGTATTTAAGTTTCTTGAGATGTTGAAGGAATGAGTTTTCCTCTAATTTTCTAGAAGTTATGAGAAATAATTATTTTGTAATCATTACTGAAGTAAAAGAGGATTTTTACCCAGGGCTTTGCAGGTATTATGTGCTTTCTTCCTACTTTTAAGGATGTTTCTTAAAATCCCGAGCTGATGGTCAGGCACGGTGGCTCACACCTGTAATCCTAGCACTTTGGGAGGCTGAGGCGGGTGGATCACCTGAGATCAGGAGTTGAAGACCAGTCTGGCCAAAATGGTGAAACCCTAACTCTACTAAAAATACAAAAAAATTAGCCGGGCATAGTGGCACAAGCCTATAGTTCCAGCTACTTGGGAGGCTGAGGTAGGTGAATTGCTTGAACACAGTGGGGAGAGGTTGCAGTAAGCAGAGATCATGCAATTGCATTCCAGCCTGGGCAACAAGAGTGAAACTCCATCTCAAAAAAAAAAAATCCTAAACTAATGTTTCTCTCTGCATTTACCCCTTAGTACTGGGGCAACACTCACTGCATCTCAGTAAGGATGAAATGTGTTTTCATTTATTCTCACTAGAATGGATGTGTTTATCCATGACTCACAGATGAATTAACAAGCACCAGGACTTGGAGAGATTCTCCTGAGGTCACAGCCGTTGAGTGGTGGAGCAGTGACAAGCACCTGGCACCCTTGGTCTAGTCCAGTATTCTGGGTGCCACAAGAATTGCAGAATTGCAACCTTGATTTTTATACATTTGGTTATTTTCTCTTTTTTTATTTCCTTTTTTGTTGTTGTTGTTGTTGTTGTTGTCGAGACAGGGTCTCACTCTATCACAGGCTGGAGTGCAGTGGCACAATCTCAGCTGGCTGCAACCTCCACCTTCCGAGTTCAAGTGATCCTCATGCCTCAGCCTCCTGAGTAGCTGGGATTACAGGTGCATGCCACCACATCTGGCTAATTTTTGCATTTTTGGTAGAGATGGAGTTTCATCATGTTTGCCAGGCTGGTCTCGAACTCCTGACCTCAGGTGCTCCTCCCACCTCAGCCTCCCGAAGTGCTGGGATTACAGGTGTGAGCCACCACGCCTGGCCATTTGGTTATTTTCTTAACCAGAGAAGGAAAATGCATGGTGAAAATAAAGTGCAAGAGCCCTAGGCCCTTGCCTTAGATTTACTGGGATGGGGGATGGAGAGAGAGAGGCTGCCACTGTTTCTCTGAATTCCAGCTCCCAGTGTTGGTCACTCAACTGAGAGCAGGAAAATTCACCTTGTGCACTTGGGGCATCAGGACAAAGATGACAGGGAGTCCCACATCTACCACGAAAGAGAAAAGGGTCCCTCCTGCCTTATGAATCATGTCCCAGTTTTCTAATTGCATGTGCTTTCCTGCACACATAATGATTTCTCCTTCCTTCAAGCACCAGTTGTCACAGGGCAAATACAGCAACAGCAGAAGGGAATTGCTACTGAGCCTGATGCTCTGATGGAAGCTCTGAGTGGAGACTTTATTTCACGTGTAGGTGCCTCTGAGTCAATGCAGAGTTTTGCCTGACTCCACTCTAGCTCGAATTCGATCAAGGTCTATATGCTGTGGGACCTCTCCAGTTCCTCATCAGACATGACAAAGAATGCCACATGTCCAGCTCCTGGGGTGCCTGATGGCAGTGAGAGGCAGCTCCTAATTGGGGGAGAGCTTTGGGGTTACCAAGGCCTCATAGACTTCATTACTGTTGGGCCACGTGGCTTCAGTCCCGTGACCACAATGGGTTCATGAGCCTGGATTCACCTCTGACATTCGTGTCTTTTTTTCTTGGGCTTCCACAAGTGGCCTCTGGTTGAGATGGGGGGAAAGGAAACAGGGATTCAAAATCTCTGACTGCCCAGTGGCCTCCCCTCACTTCCACTCAGAGACAACATGGCCATTTCGCTAAATTCCTGAAGACGCGGCCAATATAAGTAACAGAACACAGAGAGTTGCCTTGAACAGAGTTCCATGGAAGGGTGGCTGGTGCCCTCTAGACTCTTTGTCTACACTTGCTGGGCTTTCTTTAGCATGAAATGTCCCAGAGACAGCCACATTCTAAGCTTGGATCCTCAAAGCAAAGGGTGTGAGGGCCTTATCCCTGGCCAAATGAGCACTGAATTTGAGAGAGACCAGGAAACCTTCTAATTATTGGGACACTTTACTCCTGAATCCTGAATCCTGGAAGTTGGTTTCTGGCCAGGGAAGCAGGTGTCTTTATATCTTGTCTGTCTCTGTGAGGCCTCTTGTCCCTCTGCCCTTCCCATCTTTCTACCCCCGTTAATCCCAGAACAGATAGAAACATTCTGCCTTCTTTGATGCCTCTTGCTATAAACTTCAATGGCTTTTGATTGAATTAATAAGTGAAATCAACTTTAATAAAACATGAGGTTTAAAGAATGGCATTTGACATGGGTTTAGAATGAATAAATGGATCAAGTAATGAATTTTGAGAAAATGCATGTAAAATTTATCTTTAATTCCCAATGGCATTTTATTAACTTGACTGTGGAATTAATAAATGATTCTAAATCAATACCAAAACGTGCAATCACAAATGTGTGAATGCACAGAAGTGTGAATGAAGGGCAGTGCACACAAGAAAAAAAGATGTGCACATGAAGAACTTCTTCATTCCAGGTTTTTACTGATCCCTCTGGTCAAGATGGGATAAGAGTCCAAAAATATGCTTTCCTCACATGGTCAAATGATTCAGCATAAAATACAACTGATTGAACACAATTATCTATGCTTTAAATATATTAGAAAAAATCCATAAGGAAAAATGATCCTACAATCACTAAGATTTTAATTTATAATAAAATAAAGCCTAGAAATGTATCTTTTGTTCCCAATTCCAATGATTATAGGATTTCAGTGTTTGGCTTTGATAAGACCATTTAAAACAACTCAGGGAAGTTTTCTTAACAAACTCTATAGCAGGACCACAGCTAAACCTATGAGCATTAGTAGAAGTAAACAATGACACTGCCTTTAAAATTTCACTTTGAAAAACATGTCTGAAAGTGGCTGACTGGCTCCTAATTTAACTATCATTCGAGGTCATATGTTAGATTGGCAAAGTTGTTGTAATTTGTATGTATTTTATTTTTGTAATGCAAGTGCTTCACTCTACTATCAGATAAAATAAAATGTTAAGCTGGACATGGTGGTGCACATCTGTAGTCCCAGCTACTCAGGAGGCTGAGTGGGAGGATCCCTTAAGCCCAGGAGTTCAAGGCTGCAGGAAGCTCTGATGGTGCCACTGCATACCAGCCTGGGCAACAGAGTGAGGCCCTGAGTCTAAAAAATAAATAAATTAATTAAATGTTAACTTCAAATCTTATTGTTAGCAGTTCAACCTTGAACTGATTATTGGAGTTTTTTTTTTTGTTTTTTTTTTTTTGAGACAAAGTCTCACTCTGCCGCCAGGCTGGAGTGCAATGGCATGATCTCGGCTCACTGCAACCTCGCCTCCTGGGTTCAAGCGATTCTCCTGCCTCAGTCTCCTGAGTAGCTGGGACTACAGGCACCTGTCACCATGCCTGGCTAATTTTTGTATTTTTAGTAGAGACGGGGTTTCACCATGCTGGCCAGGCTGGTCTCGAACTCCCGACCCCAGGTGATATGGGCCTCCCAAAGTGCTGGGATTACAAGCATGAGCCACCATGTCTGGCCTTGAGATCTTATCTGAGAGAAGCTGTTGTGAAAACTTAGAGAATATGAACAAGAAGTAAATGTCAATCTTGTTTCTAAATTACAAACTAAAAGGAAATTCTATAAACCTTTAATACTAAGCTAAATCATGGTAGAATGAATGACCAAAAACTATCCTACAAAACATACCAGCTGCTAGGTGTATCTGAATACTAATAAAAGATGAATGGAAAAAATGCTCTAGGAATGAGGTCAAGAGTTCGAGACCAGCCTGGCCAACATGGTGAAACCCCGTCTCTACTAAAACTTCAAAAATTAGCCGGGCATGGTGGTGGGCACCTGTAATCCCAGCTACTCGGGAGGCTGAGGCAAGAGAACCACTTAAACCTGGGAGGCAGAGGTTGCAGTGAGCCAAGATCGCACCACTGCACTCCAGACGCGGCAACAGAGTGAGAACCTGTCTCAAAAACAAAAAACAAGGAAGGAAGGAAGGAGGAAAGAAAGAAAGAAAGAAAGAAAGAAAGAAATTATATTTAGAATAAAATTCTTACCTTATAGCAAAATTTCTTATTGAAAAACCACTTTATTTCACATACAAATAAGAATTCAGCATTTTTCTATACCCAGAGATAACAGAGATAAACAGGGGTTTTTTGTGGGGTTCAGATATTTTATTAGCTGCTGAGTGTAAGAAAATCTACCACTGAAGAAGCTGAAATCCCATTTTTCTTTGAAATGGGATCTTTCCAAAGTTAGTAACAATGAAGTTGTCATTCACATAATGGATGACTGAACAAAAAGATAGTGATAGTAGATGCTGCATTTTGTTTCTGTAATGTTGGGAACGGGCCCCCCAAAATATGGCCATAAACTGGCCCCAAAACTGGCCATAAACAAAATCTCTGCAGCACTGTGACATGTTCGTGATGGCCATGATGCCCACGCTGGAATGTTGTGGGTTTACCGGAATGGGGGCAAGGAACACCTGGCCCACCCAGAGTGGAAAACCACTTAAAGGTGTTCTTAAACCACAAACAGTAGCGTGAGCAATCTGTGCCTTAAGGACATGCTCCTGCTGCAGATAACTAGCCAGAGCCCATCCCTTCATTTCAGCCCATCCCTTTGTTTCCTGTAAGGAACACTTTTAGTTAATCTATAATCTATAGAAACAATGCTTATCACTGGCTTGCTGTCAATAAATACATGGGTAAATCTCTGTTCAAGGCTCTTGGCTCTGAAGGCTGTGAAACCCCTGATTTCCCACTCCACACCTCTATATTTCTGTGTGTGTATCTTTAATTCCTCTAGCTCTGCTGGGTTAGGGTCTCCCCCACCAAGCTGGTCTCAGTAAGCAGCACCCATACGTGGGGGCTCGAATCCAGGTTGAAGGGTCGCCAGAGCAACAGTTGGAGAATGGGGAACTAAGCTGGAGGACACCCAAGTACTCTTAAGCAATCCTCGTAGTGAGTAAGATGGGGAGCTTGGAAGCATCGGGTAACAATGGGACAAGTGTGGGCTCTGGTTCGTTCCACCTTGGAACTTTTTCACACTGATGATGAGGAGGAAGGAGAGTATGACGAAGTAACAGAAGAGGTTACAGAGCAGGTTTATTTGCCAGCTAAAGCTAAAGTGGCACAGGAGGAAGAGGTTCATCCCTACCCTTCTGCACCCCCTCATTATTATTTTGAAGAAAAAGAGTGGCCAGACCCTCCAGATCTTTCTTTTCTGGAGGACACTGGGCGAAAAGTAGTTGCCCCAGTGACTGAGCAGCACCTCGAGCGACTGCTGTCAGTTCTATTCAGGCAGGAGTTCAGCAGGCTAGACGAGAGGGTGATATAGAGGCTTGGCAGTTCCCTGTTAGAATACACCACCTGATCAACAGGGAAATATTATAGCTACATTTGAGCCTTTTCCTTTTAAATTACTCAAATAATTTAAACAAGCTATTAATCAGTATGGACCAGGTTCTCCTTTTGTAATGGGACTGTTAAAGAATGTTGCTGTTTCCAGTCGGATGATTCCTACTGACAGGGACACTCTTATTCGAGCTTGTCTAAGTCCTGCTCAATTCTTACAATTTAAAACTTGGTGGGCAGATGAAGCTTCCATTCAGGCTGCTTGCAATGCCCAGGCCGAAACTCAAATTAATATAACATGGACCAACTTTTGGGGGTCGGCTGCTGGGCTGGTTTAGACGCACAAGTGGTCATACAGGATGATGCCGTAGAGCAGCTTAGAGGAGTGTGCATTAGAGCTTGGGAAAAAATCACTTCAGGTGGAGAACAATACCCTTCCTTTAGTGCTGTAAAACAGGGACCAAAAGAACTGTATGCAGATTTTATAGCTTGGAATCTCTTAAGACAGGAGTCTCTTAAAAAGGTGATTTCAGATTCAGCTGCTCAGGATATAGTGTTGCAGTTATTAGCTTTTGGCAATGTTAATCTCGATTGCCAGGCTGCTTTGCGACCTATTAGAGGGAAAGCACATTTAGTTGATTATATCAAGGCCTGTGACGGTATCGGAGGTAATCTGCATAAAGCTACTTTGTTGGCACAGGCAATGGCAGGACTGAGAGTGGATAAAGGAAATACTCCATTTCCTGGAGCTTGTTTTAACTGTTTGAAGCATGATCACACTAAAAAACAATGTAGAAAAAATCAGCAAGTCAGGCCACCATATAGGGGAAAAAAAGAAAACTACTGAGCCTGAAATATGTCCAAAATGCAAAAAAGGAAAACATTGGGCTAATCAGTGTCACTCTAAGTTTGATAAAGATGGGAACCTGATTTCAGGAAACACCATGAGGGGCCCATCCCGGGGCCCCATTCCAAACCGGGGCATTTCTGGCTCAGGCCATTCCCTCATCCTTGTACAATATCTGTCCCCCGCCACAGCCAGTAGCACCACAGTAGATTTATGTTGCACAAAAGCTGTGAGGCTTCTGCCTGGGGAAACCCTGCAAAAGGTCCCAACAGGGGTCTGTGGACCCTTGCCAGCGGGAACGATAGGATTATTTCTAGGAAGGCCTAGTTTAAGTTTAAAAGGCATACAAATACATACAGGGGTCATTGATTCAGATTACAATGGGGAAATTCAAATTGTTATATCTACTTCTGTTCCCTGGAAAGCAGAGCCAGGAGAGTGTATAGCACAGCTCCTGATTGTGCCGTATGTGGGAATGGGAAGAGTGAAATTAAACAAACAGGAGGATTTGGAAGCACAAATAAACAAGGCAAAACAGCTTATTGGGTGAATCAAATTACTGATAAACGTCCTACCTGTGAAATAACTATTCAGGGAAAGAAATGTAAAGATTTGGTAGATACAGGAGCGGACATTTCAATCATTTCTCGACAGCACTGGCCGTCTGCGTGGCCAGTTCAACACACTCAACTTAAAACAGTTGGAGTTGGTAAAGCCCCTGAAGTATATCAAAGCCATTATATTTTGCATTGTGAAGGTCCCGATGGACAACCTGGGACTATTCAACCAATTATAACTTCCGTACCTATAAATTTATGGGGGAGAGATTTATTACAACAATGGGGAGCACAAGTTCTACTTCCAGAGCAATTATATAGCCCTCAAAGTCAACATATGATGCATGAAATGGGGCATGTCCCTGGTATGGGACTAGGAAAAAATTTGCAAGGTTTGAAAAAAAATGCTTCAAGTGGAGAGACAAAGTTCCCGCCAAGGTTTAGGGTATCATTTTTGATGGCAGTCATTGTTAAGCCTCCAGAACCTATACCTTTAAAATGGTTAACAGATAAGCCAATTTGGATAGAACAGTGGCTGCTAAGTAAAGAGAAACTGGAGACTTTAGAGAACTTCGTTAATGTACAATTAGAAAATGAGAACATAGCTACAACACTTTCCCCTTGGAATTCTCCGGTTTTTGTAATTAAGAAAAAATCAGGTAAATGGAGAATGTTAACTGATTTAGGAGCCATTAATTCAGTTATACAAGCTATAGGAGCATTACAGCCAGGAAGGACTCTTTCTTTACTATACCCTTAGCTAAGCAAGACAGTGAACGGTTTGCATTTACAATTCCTGTGGTAAACAATCTGCAGCCTGCTAAGCATTTTCATTATTTCACAGATGGGTCTAGCAATGGTAAAGCTTCTTATTCTGGATCAAAAGGTAAAGCTTTCCAGGCAACCTATACTTCAGCTCAGAAAGCAGAGCTTGTAGCTGTAATTGAGGTGCTGACTGCTTTTGATATGCCTGTTAATGTGATTTCTGATTCTTTATACATGGTTCATTCCACGCAGTTAATTGAAAATGCTCAGTTATGATTTATACAGATGAACAACTGATGACAAAAACAAAAAAGGGGGAGAAACAGGGATTACGAGACAGCCCATACACAACTGAATCTAGCATTATTAACTTTAAATTTTTTGAGGCTGCCCAAAGGCCAGATGTTATCAGCAGCTGAACAGCATCTACAGAAACCAGCTGCAAAGACAGGAGCAGAACAACTGGTTTGGTGAAGAGATCCAATAACAAAAAGTTGGGACATAGGTAAAATAATAACTTGGGTAGAGGTTATGCTTGTGTTTCTCCAGGCCAAAACCAGCAGCCAATTTGGATACTATCAAGACACCTAAAACCTTATCATGAGCCAGATGCCAAGGAAGAGATTCCAGGAGGATCCCGAGGACCCCCTGGTTGCAGCCATGTCGAGACTGATGCTGAGGAGGACCCTAACTGTCACGAGCAACACCCGTTGAACACAGCCACCCACCTGGGGACAGATCAAGAAGCTGTCACAGATGGTGGAAGAAAACCTGAGGAAAGCGGGACAACTGGTCACAATGACTGTTTACTGGAATGAAGGCTGTGAGACTCCTCATTTCCCACCCCACACGCCATATTTCTGTGTGTGTGTCTTTAATTCCTCTAGCGCCACTGGGTTAGGGTCTCCCCGACTGAGCTGGTCTCGGCACTGTAATTCTGCCTTGTCCACATGGCACTATTTACACTTTAATTAATTAAAATTAAATGGATTTTAAAAGCCAGTTTCTTATTTGCACCAGCCATATATTTCAAGTACTCAGAATTCACAGAATATGAATGTCTGTATCTGTGCCATAATGAATAGCTCAGATATAGACACTCCATCACTGCAGAAGGGGGTTGGACAGTGGTATTCCAATGTTTCATGGACAGGATCCTGAGTATAATTACGGAATAATGACAATTCCAAGTTCCCATTTCAATTCATGGTCTCTTCTCTGATTCGTGGTGTAGGGGGCAGCCCATCTCTTTTGTGAATAAAGGTTAATTTTTCCAATTACACGTAAGTAGCTAATATTATTTTTTTTTAGCAGTCTTACAGTGTAAGTTACAACCAAAAGTGAAGTGCCTGAATTATATTTACATTTTAACAAATGGTTTTAAAGGGAAAATCCATGTGAAAAAGAAACAAAAGTCAGGAAAAAAAACACACAGAAGTTTCCATACCAATCCTGATAGCAATAACAATCCCTTTGCTGTCATGAGAGTTCACCCTCATCCTGATTTCATAGTAATCCTGTTCACGCCTTTCTTTAAAGCTTTACTCCCATGCATACATCTCTAAAACAATATAGGTTATCTCAAACTTCATATAGATTTTGAATCTTTTGATACAAATGGAATCGTGCTATGTGTATTCTTATGAGACCTTATTTTAGCTCAAATGTATGTTTGCTAAGTTGTTATAGGTGTCTCTAGAGCGTTCATGTTTATTATTCATAGAATTCCACACATTAAATTAATCCTTCTTTGTTTGTGGTCATTTTATTTGTTTTCAGGTTTTAAAAATTATAAACAATGCTGTTGTAAGCCTTCTTGCACATGTATGTTGGCACAATGAGCATATATCTTTCAAAATTATATGCCTAAGAGTGGAATTACTGGTGTATGTATATGATATCCCACCCAAAAAGATGATGCCACACTGCTAGACAAAGTGTGTGACAGCTCTTGATGGTCCATATTCGCACCAACATTTGGAATAGTCAGTGATTTTAATTTAGAAATTCTAGTGGATTTGTCATGACACATCATTATATTTCTTTCCTTAAACTTTCTTAAGATATAATTCACATATCATTCACCCATTTAAAGTATACAATTCAATGGTTTTTCACATATTTGGATTTTTAAATCACCATATCTAATTTTAGAACATTTTCATCATCCCAAACTGTTCTCCACAGTTTGAGAGCTGCCTTCTGCAGACCAGCAAGACACAGATTGTTCTCAGCTCCCCTTGTCTCTGGACCCTGACTTCTCTTCCCCCAGCTGCACAGCTGATAAACTGTGTCTCCTCCCAAGCATAGCCCAGGAAGGATATAGGGAGAGGGGCCCATTCCCCTGATGTCCCAGAACCCCTTCCACATAATCCCAATATCCAGGCCCGGTGTCCCCTTCCCTGGATCAATCTTTTTCTGGGAATGAAAGAGTTGCAGTGTTTCCCTCCCAGATCTCCCCTGTGACTCACTCCCTCTAAATAGATATCTTGCTCTATGAGTTATTATTCTCATATCCTTTCTTTGAAGCTGTGATAAGATATTACAAACTATTAAGAGAACATGGAGGCTAGGCGTGGTGGCTCACGCCTGTAATCCCAGCACTTTGGGAAGCCAAGATAGGCAGATCACCTGAGGTCAGGAGTTCGAGACCAGCCTGGCTAACATGGTGAAAACCCCATCTCTAAAAATACACAAATTAGCTGGGTGTGGTGGCAGCTGCCTGTAATCCCAGCTACTCGGGATGCTGAGGCAAGAGAATTGCTTGAACCAGGAGGTGGAGGTTGCAGTGAGCCGAAATCACGCCATTGCACTCCAGCCTGGCAACAAGAGATAAACTCTGTCTCAAAAAAAAAAAAAAAGAAAGAAAGAGAGAGAGAGAACATGCAGGTTAGGTTCTCTTTTTGGATTCTGAGGACCTGCTGTGCTGGGGCAGAGGCAGGTGGGGAGAGAAGGGCAGGTGGAGGGGCAGGTGCTGAGTGGTGTGCAACCTTGCTCCGTGCTCAATAAAGTTCCTGCTGTGGTCATTTCTTGTGTATTTGTCTGGATCCCTCCGTGTGCTGGGATTTGTGCCTGGTCTTTAGGGGCGGGTGCTGCTCCAGGTCGGAGGCCTCACACATCTCCAGGCTGAGTCTTTCTCCAAGTCCATGGAGGTCACGGGCTGAGAATGACAGTTCTCCATCCTGCCCTCAGCTCCACTTTGTGTGTGTGTATTTTTACATGTTGATCTCACCCCTCTCGTCAGAGATTTACAGGAATAGTACTCTGTAGGAGAGCCGTTATCATCCTGCTCCGGCCAGGCTCTGTCTCTCACTTTTGGGTCGTGTGTTCTGTTTCTTGTCCTCTAAAGACTCAGGGCAGCCTCTGCACTTGGGGCTTCTCAGATGCCCCAAATTGATTGTTTTCACCTTTGCCTTCCTTCTTGCTCTGTTTCCAGAATACTCTTATTTTTCCCTTTTATTGTAGTAAGTCAATTTTTTGAATTAACATCATGAATAGATGTGTTAGTGCAATGTCTTAAATACATTCTTGTCACTTCTCCTTTTGTGGGAGCACCCTGTGGTCAGTCAGGGACCTGGCAGGAAAGAGATGGCACCTTTTTTTTTTCCAAGACTGAGTTTCACTCTTGTTGCCCAGGCTGGAGTGCAATGGTGTGATCTCGGCTCACCACAACCTCTGCCTCCTGGGTTCAAGCAATTCTCCTGCCTCAGCCTCCCGAGTAGCTGGGATTACAGGCATGCGCCACCATGCCCAGCTAATTTTTTATTTTTAGTAGAGACAGGGTTTCTCCATGTTGGTCAGGCTGGTCTTGAACTCCCAACCTCAGGTGATCCTCCGGCCTCGGCCTCTCAAGGTGCTGAGATTACACGTTTGAGCCACCGCGCTGGCCTGAGATGGCACCTTCTACACAGGTGCCGGCAGGGCTAAGAAAGCCACAAAGGGCGCTGAAGCTCCCTGGGATTATTCCTGGCAGGAAACTGTTTTCATCTTGAAGCTTGAAAGAGCAACGAACGGAGCAGTTTCCAGAACCCAAGGAAATCTGTAGCTTTCACTAGGGGCAGACCCACATGCCTGTGGCTGTAGGTAGAGGACGGCAATGATTACGGAACCACAGAGCTGTCCAGAGGGAGTGAGGGAAATGAAAACCCTGAGTTACTTCTCCCCGCATGCTCCCATCTCCTGCAGGTGCCTGTTATCATCCACACCCAAGCAGAAGCCAGGTGGTGCAGGAGCATGGGCCGTGCCTGTTGTGGTTGCCTCCCAGTGCAGGGGACAAGGTGGAGGAGGGTGAACGACGGCCCTGTGGGGAGAGAGAAGCAGAGAATAATGCACTCACCTGCTTACAGTGTCCACATTCCTCAGGGAATTCACTTAAATATCCTAGAGTCTGCCCTAATCCAAAGGCATGGCTTCAAAAAAAAAAATACATGTAATTTATTCATTCTGAGGCAGAAATTTAAAAATAATAATAATAATAATAAGTATTACATTTACTTACTTTAAGAAAAGTTAAAGCTAAGGCTTAGAATGTGGCAAGGCAAAAGTTAAAAAGAAAAAGAAAAGAACAAGTTTTTTTCTGCTTAGCAAGCTTACCTCAAGGACAGTTTTATACATATATTTTTTTTTAGATGGTGTCTCGCTTTGTCACCCAGGCTGGAGTGCCATGACACGATCTCGGCTCACTGCAAGCTCTGCCTCCCAGGTTCACGTCATTCTCCCGCCTCAGCCTCCCGAGTAGCTGGGACTACAGGCACCCACCACCACACCTGGGTAATTTTTTGTATTTTTAGTAGAGACAGGGTTTCACCATGTTAGCCAGGATGGTCTCGATCTCCTGACCTCGTGATCTGCCCACCTCGGCCTCCCAAAGTGCTGGGATTACAGGCGTGAGCCACTGTGCCCAACCCAAGGACAGTTATAAGATAACACTGTCTGAATAGCTAGGGCTAAAAAAATAGGCCTTGGACACTTCTTTTTTCTAGAGCAAAGTTGAAGGAAAAAAAGAGAAAAAAAGATTATTTTACTGTAGAATGCATGAACCAGACACTCAAGCAGCTACTGAAGAAATATTGCCAAGAAACTCATCTGAGACAGAATCAAGTCTTGCCTATAGTCCTCCTCTGAGCCAAGCGCACCCCCACCAAACAAACTAAGTATTTACCCTATAAGATTTTGTTCAATCAGCCACCGTCAAATTAAAAGTGATCTCCAAGAACTAAAAGAACTAACCTTAAGAAATCAAATGCAGGCTTTAGAAACAGCCATGCAAAGTGTTCATAGTTAAGTACATAAAAGAATGCCTAGAAGTCTAACAGACCCAGTAAACCCTTTAAACCTAGTAGCTTTGTTTAAGTTAAAAAGTAGAACCCAACTTCTCTAAGACCCATGTAAGATAAGCCCCACAGAGTAATCTTGTCCACTCCCACTGCTGTTAAAGTTGCAAGAATCGTGCCTTAACTCCATCACAGTCGGCTAAAATCGGCAGCTCAGGACAAGTGAACCAGCCAGCAACACCCAGATCATCCAACCCGGCTGATCCTGAGACAAGACCAAGCTGCTGCTGAAGACGACAGCCCTGCTCTGGTCACTCCGGTGGCTGACCAGTCTACGCACAGCTGAAGTTTGAAGAAACAACAAGCCTTGCTCTAGTCACACACCGGAAGCTGACTAGTCTATGCACGGCTGAAGCTTAAAGACTCATCAAGCAAGTAAATGTAGTTAGAAATCTTAAGACTAGTAGTTTTCCTGTAATACTAACTGTTTTCCTATTGTTCTGTCACTGTGCTCAACCTCCTCCCCCAAATAAAGACCTCTTTTGTCCTTGCTAGATTTAAATATGCTGTACATTGTTTTGATGTTGTTACCCCCTTAACCATACTAGAAGAAACACTGACAGAAAAGTGTCCCCACTGTACACATACTACTTAGTCAAAGAACAGTATAACTAGAACTCTGTTGTACCATACTTATAAGTGTACAAAGACTCGCTTAAGAACTTGTACTTATAAGGCTGGGCGCGGTGGCTCACGCCTGTAATCCCAGCACTTTGGGAGGCCGAGGCGGGTGGATCACAAGGTCAGGAGATCGAGACCATCCTGGCTAACACGGTGAAACCCCGTCTCTACTAAAAATAAAAAAAAAAAATTAGCCGGGCGTGGTGGTGGGCTCCTATAGTCCCAGCTACTCGGGAGGCTGAGGCAGGAGAATGGCGTGAACCCGGGAGGCGGAGCTTGCAGTGAGCCAAGATTGCGCCACTGCACTCCAGCCTTGGAGACAGAGCGAGACTCCGTCTCAAAAAAAAAAAAAAGAACTTGTACTTATAATCAGACCACCTGTTCAATTTGTGACCCAAGAAATGGCCAGCCTTATATATGCTATGACCGAAGTCTTTACCTAGGACTTAGTTTAAGATTCATACAAGTAAAAAAAAAAAAAAGAAGTCTTGTAAGTCAAACCCAAGCCTCTCCTTCCCAGGGTGGGGGCTATATCCATATACTTTGATATTTGTCAGTTAACATCCATGAACCCAACCTATCTCACAATCTCTAGTCCTACAAAGTACTATAAAAACTGCCAGTATAAAATTGTATGTACACTCCCTGTTTGTCCCTCCAAGGCCCTAGCAATAGCTTGCTGGAACTGCACAATGCAGTTCACTGACCGATCATCACTGAGGCCAAAGCCAATCTTGCTCATCAAAGTACCAGCAAAACCAGATTGTAAGACAAGCATTTGCAATCCTGTAAATCTTACTATCTTAAGGCCAAACCTACCTGTATGGACTATAGGCTACTCCATGGCATTACAAAGCTACGGTCAAAAAGCTAAAACAACTTTGTATATTATAAAGAAGACTTGAACCAAGCAGTCAGCCCAGGAGCAATTCTGAGTCTTTAAGTCATTCTTTGAGCATATAAACCGGAAGTTATCAGAGCCTCCTCCTTTAGCCAAAAACCTATTTGTTCAGCTGGCTGAAAACATTGCTGCCAGCCTAGGCGTTTCCTCATGTTATGTTTGTAGAAAGACTAGCATAAAAGACCAATGGCCTTAAGAAGCAAAAAAGTTAATGCCTCAAGATAACTTTACTCCAACTGACTCTTTCCCCAAACCGATGCCCACAAGTTCAAGCGTCTGGCTCTTAAAAACTTCTATATCGAGGCCAGGTGCAATGGATCATGCCTGTAATCCCAGCACTTTGGGAGGCCGAGGCAGGCGGATCGCCAGGTCAGGAGATCGAGACCATTCTAACACAGTGAAACCCTGTCTCTACTAAAAATACAAAAAATTAGCCGGGTGTGGTGGCGGGTGCCTGTAGTCCCAGCTACTCAGGAGGCTGAGGCAGGAGAATGGCGTGAACCCAGGAGGCGGAGCTTGCAGTGAGCCAAGATTGCGCCACTGCACTCCAGCCTTGGAGACAGAGCGAGACTCCGTCTCAAAAAAAAAAAGAAAGAAAGAGATTCCATCTGCATGTATGCATTCAGCCAGGACACAGTGGCCAGGGGTCTTAAACACCACCCAAGAGCCTTCAGACAGTCAAGTTCCTCTTTCTTCTCAGGGTTCAGCCTGAGCACTGGGGTGACCAAACACACTGTGCAAAGGGCAGGAACCTCTTCAATGCCAGCTTATGAATCTGTCCCCTCCAGTGGTGGGAAATCGCACCTCAATCCACAATCCACTATTTCTTCCCGCCCTTACCTCCTCACACCCATCTGGAATTTAGGAGAATGTGGAGAGCAGCCAGCAGCAATAGCAGCAGCTGAGGCCTAAGGAAAACTGAACAGGAAGCCAAGGAAACACATCAGGTGACTAAAATTGTTTGCTGTTCTGCACATGTCCAAGAATGACCCCAAAAGATTTTCAATGACCAGTTCTATGGTTACCAACCTATTGGGCCACGTCATAGACATCAAGTGGATGAGCATTGCCTTTATCAATGACAGGTGAGCCCCACACCCAGAAGGACACCTACTCTCCCATTCCTTATGTTTTCTATCTTTTCACACCTTACATCCTCTTCCCTCCCTCTGGGTGTCTTCCCTCTTTGGGTCTTCTGTTTCTACCCTCTGCCTCCTTTCAGGTGACTAGAGCAGGCTGGTTTGGAACAGGGCTTGGCCATCAGCGTTTGTGTCAGATGAGAATCATGCAAGGATCCAGTGTGATGGGCAGCATCGCTTCGAGGTCAGTGTTAGTGAGCTGCCTGATGAGACAGATGTCTCCTCCACGGTGAGTGCTGATCTCATGAAACACTTAGTTCCTCCCTGAACCTTAGTATGTTTTTCTTCAATCTCATCACATAGGTCATGGGCATCTGATGCATAATGGACACTTGACTGGTTCATGCCCCCTGGCCTTTGATGCTGTGTTGGGATGTTTTCCTGACCTTTATGTGGGGTTTCTGTCTTCTCTCATCATATTACATCCCTTCCCTCACCCCCACGTCCGTCCTCTGAACCCACACAGTACACCAGCGTCTGCATGTGTGCCGTGTGTTCATGCCTCACTTTCCCCTTTTCATGCCTTATTCTGACTGTGCCATATTTTCTCTTCAGTTGAACAGACACAGTAGAGGACTCACCAATTCTGGGATGTGATAGTCTGTCCTTCAGGAGAAGACCCCAGGGTGGGGGTGAAGGAGACACTACTGCCTCCACCCCTAACAGCCCCCACCCCATGGCTTCCCTCCTCTGCATCAGCACCACTCCTGAACCCCCATTCCTGATTGTCAGAATTTTAAAAATCCTAACTAGGCTGGGCGCGGTGGCTCACGCATATAATCCCTGCACTTTGGGAGGTCGAGGCGGGTGGATCACCTGAAGTCAGAAGTTCAAGACCAGCCTGACCAATATGGAGAAACCCAGCGTCTACTACAAATACAAAAATAACCGGGCGTGATGACGAGCGCCTGTAATCCCAGCTACTCGAGAGGCTGAGGCTCAAGAATCGCTTGAACCCAGGAGGCAGAGGTTGCAGTGAGCCGAGATCGCACCTTTGCACTCCAGCCTGGTCAACAAGAGGGAAACTCCATCTCAAAAAAAAAAAAAAAATCCTAATGAAAAATGGAACACATGTGTGTCTGTGGTATCTGCATGCTACATCTTCTTACTGTGTTTGGGGAGAGGTTATTGTAGGACATGATCCAGGGTAAATTCCTGTAAGGCTGAGGTGCACTGCTGTGAGGTCAAAGGAGGCATGGGACTGAGACTGCAGAGCCCTGGCTCCCCACTACCTGCCTGTATTAGTCAGGGTTCTCTAGAACTAACAGAATAAATATATATATAAAGGGGGATTTATTAAGTAGTATTAACTCGCATGATCACATGGTCCCACAATAGGTCGCCTGCAAGCTGAGGAGCAAGGAAGCCAGTCCGAGTCCCAAAGCGGAAGAACTTGGAGTTCGATGTTCGAGGGCAGGAAGCATCCAGTATGGGAGAAAGATGTAGGCTGGGAGGCCAGTCTAGCCTTTTCACATTTTTCTCCCTGCTTTATATTCTGGCCACGCTAGCAGCTGATTAGATGGTGCCCACCCAGATTTAGGGTGGGTCTGCCTTTCCCAGTCCACTGACTCAAATGTTAATCTCCTTTGGCAACACCCTCACAGACATGCCCAGGATCAGTATTTTGCGTCCTTCAATCCAACCAAGTTGACACTCAGTATTAACCATCACACTGCTAACTTCTGGCCTTTTGTGGTCTCTTCCATTTTCCCAGTGGCCTGGGAGCAGCTGGGATATTTCTGATCCTGGGGTTCCTGGGGGTGGTGCACAGTATTTCCAATGCTGAGGGGTGCCACAGGCACTGGTGGGAAGCTTGGGTGTCTCCTCCCAGGCTCTCTTGGTGCCTCCTTCCTTATCTGTTTCTTCAGGTTCTGGATCTTGACCATCAGGGCCTGGGCCCCCCACCCCCTCCAGCAGAGCCTGATCCACTCCAGCTGCTGCTCCAGCAACTCTTTGGCTTGGGCCAGCTCAGCTGTGTGGTGGGGCCAGGGCCCTGGTGAGGGGAGTCAGGGAGGGAGCATCAGCCAGGGCAGGGGGGCTGAGGCTCTGGAAAGCTGTGCTGCAGGGTCTGGCTGTAAGTGGGAAATTCTACCTCCCTTTCTCTGTTTCTAGCCCATTAGTTTAAGTCCACCTGTACTGAGAAGCCCAGGGAGCCCTGTATCTTAGGTACAAGCCTCTGGGGAGCAGATAGAGATCCCTGGCCCAGGAGCTATACTGGAAAGCCCACAGCTGCAGAAAGTCAGGTTGCACCTGTAAAACCCCCAGCTGGTTAAAAAAAGATAAAATTTGACTACCTGAGAGGTTTCATTTATATAACAGGAACACCTTCCCAGCCTCTCTCTGTGGGCTATTAAAGATTTCAGAGATTTCTTATTCTAAACAATTAATGGAAACATCAAGTCTTAAAAGGACACATAGTAGTGTCATGGCTAGTCTTCAAAAATTCCCTTGACTAAATTAAGAGCAAAAAAATCACTTCAAACACTTCTGGTAGTTAAAATTAAACACTTCTCAGCCGGGTGCGGTGGCTCATGCCTGTAATCCCAGCACTTTGGGAGGCCGAGGTGGGCGGATCACGAGGTCAAGAGATTGAGACCATCCTGGCCAACATGGTGAAACCCTGTCTCTACTAAAAATACAAAAATTAGTCGGGTGTGGTGGTGGGCACCTGTAGTCCCAGCTACTCAGGAGGCTGAGGCAGGAGAATCGCTTGAACCTGAGAGGCGGAGGCTGCAGTGAGCCGAGATCACACCACTGTGCTCCAGCCTGGGCAACAGAGCAAAACTAAAAAAAAAAACATTAAACACTTCTGCCATGGCTCAGGTTTGCCACCTCATCAGGGAACAACTAAGGGCCACCCACCTTGTGGCCTAATAGTCATAACTTTGGTTAAGGCACTTGGGAGGATACCTTTTGGTAAAGAAGGTGAAAAGCCAGGAATATCAACTGTTCCTCCTGGCTAAAATCTGGTAATAAGAGATGTCAAAGGATTTTTTTAGAGCTCTATAGTCAAAATTTGACTTAATTAAAACTGATATTTTAGACTTCAGTGTGTACATATTGCTTTAAGGTCTCTTTTCTCCCTGGGTAAACATTTCTCAGTCAACTAAATGTCTCTCTTTTTCAACCCCCTGCTAGCCACATGCACTTCCTCTGTTTCCCTATTTCTTTGTTTTTTTTTTTTTTTTTTTTTTGAGACGGAGTCTCACTCTGTCACCCAGGCTGGAGTGCAATGGCGTGGTCTCAGCTCACTGCAACCTCCACCTCCCAGGTTCAAGCGATTCTCCCACCTCAGCCTCCCAAGTAGCTGGGACTACAGGCGCCTGCCACCACACCCAGCTAATTTTTGTATTTTTAGTAGAGACGGGGTTTCACTATATTGGCGAGGCTGATCTCGAACTCCTGACCTAGTGATCCACCCACCTCGGCCCCCCAAAGTACTGGGATTACAGGCATGAGCCACTGCGCCCGGCCTCCCCTATTTATTTCTATCAGCCCCTCCTTCCTCTTGCCAACCTTGGTGCCACATAAGAAAAAAATTAAATTAAATAAAATTCTAATAGCCTGGGATCCCTTAAGAAAAATGCAAAAGGCACCACAGACGCATTTTTGTGAGAAACTGCTGTTTTTTCCTCAGGGAATCCCAAGAGGGAATCCAAGAGAGGACAAAATCCTCTCAGGTCAAAAACTCTGTTCCTTTGCCTTGCATGACCTGATTTTGGCTTTGAATGGGATCAGAAATCACTTTATATTGTGAGAAAACTTGACTTTGGCGTATACAATGGCTGGGAAATGGGCTGATCACAGAGTGGGCTGATTGGCACTGGGTTGCCCACCAGCCTTGAGAGAAAGTTTTTGTAGCAAAACACACTAAAAATATTGTATGGCCAGGTCCCCATGGCATTACTCTCTTTCTGGGCACTGAAAATTCAGTGTGGGCTCTACCCTGAGTTCAATGGTCCAGTTAAAAGATACAGGCCAAATTAAAAGCACCTATCTAAATGCAGTTGATCTCCTTATAAGATCCTATGATAGACCGGGCACGGTGGCTCACGCCTGTAATCCCAGCACTTTCAGAGGCCAAGGCGGGCGGATCACAAGGTCAGGAGATTGAGACCGTCCTGGGTAACATGGTGAAACTCCATCTCTGCTAAAAATAAAAAAAAGTAGCCGGGCGTAGTGGCACACACCTGTAGTCCCAGCTACTTGGGAGACTGAGGCAGAAGAATCGCTTGAACCTGGGAGGCGGAGGTTGCAGTGAGCCGAGATTGCGTTCTGCAGGAGGTACTAATTAAAATTGTGTACCTCCTAGTTTTTTCACTAAAAATAAGAGTTACTAAGAGTTAACATTACAATTCATAGATGTAATTTAAATTACTAGATATAAGATAAATAATTCTACAAGCAACATGCAAAGAAAAGTAGAATGTGGTTTTTGGTAGAAACATAAGAAGGCATGGAAATAGGGCTTTTGTTAAAGGAAAAGTAATTCTGCCTAGTTAGAGGGGTTTATTTTATTTTATTTTATTTATTTTGAGATGGAGTCTCGCTCTGTTGCCCAGGCTGGAGTGCAGTGGCATGATCTCAGCTCACCATCAACCTCCACCTGCTGGGTTCAAGTGATTCTCCTGCCTCAGCCTCCCAAGTAGCTGGGACTACAGATGTGCACCACCACGCTCAGCTAATTTTTTGTATTTTTAGTAGAGATGGGGTTTCACCATGTTGGCCAAGCTGGTCTGAAACTCCTGACCTTCTGATCCACCCGCCTTGGCCTCCCAAAGTGCTGGGATTACAGGTGAGCCACCACGCCTGGCCAAAATAATCTTTTATAACTTTTTTTGTTGGAAACATTGCTGATTCTTTTTGCTTTGTTTTTCAGAGTCAAGAAAACTTTTCTTTTGAACATTTACAGCTTTTCACAATGAAGCGTACTCTTGTAAGCAAAATTTGAGGCATATTTCTTTCTCTCTACCTGATTTCTCCAGAATTCAGAAACTATTTCTGAGATTTTGTTTGTTTGTTTGTTTTTTGAGAAGGAGTCTTGCTCTATCTCCCAGGCTGGAGTGCAGTGGGGCGATCTCAGCTCACTGCAATGTCTGCTTCCCGGGTTCAAGTGATTCTCCTGTCTCAGCCTCCTGAGTAGCTGGAATTACAGGCACCCGCCACCACGCCTGGCTAATTTTTGTATTTTTAGTAGAGACAGGGTTTCACCATGTTGGTCAGGCTGGTCTCGATCTCCTGACCTCATGATCTGCCTGCCTCAGCCTCCCAAAGTGCTGGGATTACAGGCATGAGCCACCACGCCTGGCCTTATTTCTGAGTATTCATGATTTATGGCAATATACTTAGTTGCATGAGTTTAATAAAAATCTGTTTTCTTTCTTAACAGGACATAATTTTGACACTGATTATTTTACCAAGGCTTTGGCTAGAATGCCATATTTTAAGATATAAGCAGACTGCTTTGAGAACTTGAGATTGATGTTATAGAACTGATTAAAAAAAAAAAAAACCCTTGGAAAAACTGACCTCATACTTTGTCTACGCATTTCCTTTACAGGGTTCCTGACAGGTAGTAAGTAAGAATATCACTTTCTCACAGACCTAAGAACCACACGTTATTTTGAGACCTTGAGAAGACAGAAATTTACCTCATTCATACAAGTATCTGCAGGCACAGATAAATCCTTGGCTGGACTCAAGAAAAACTCTAATCTGAGATTCCTTATGAAAAGCTCTAGCAAAACCAATTCAAAAAGAGCCTAGGGCCATGCACAGTGGCTCAGGCCTGTAATCCCAGAACTTTGGGAAGCCGAGGCGGATGGATCACCTGAGGTTGGGAGTTCGAGACCAGCTTGACAAACATGGAGTAACCCCGTCCTGACTAAAAATACAAAATTAGCTGGGCTTGGTGGCGCATGCCTGTAATCCCAGCTACTCGGGAGGTTGAGGCAGGAGACTCGCTTGAACCCGGGAGGCAGAGGTTGCAGTGAGCTGAGATTGCACCATTGCACTCAGCATGGGCAACAAGAGTGGAAACTCTGTCTCAAAAAAAAAAAAGAGCCTATTGGCCAATAATTATTCTTGCTGCGCTTTATGCAAATAATCAGACCAAGTATAATAAGACTAAAACTTATTTTGCAGATACGTTGGTCCCACTATGATTTTGATTTTGGTAAAAATAGGGGACTGGAGAGAGAAAAATTATTTCAAAGAAAATTATAGTATACTCATTATAAGATTCTAGCCTTGTCCATTGTTTTTCAGTTTTCACTATTTGTCTACAATTTATTCAGACTAGATCCTGAATTCTTCCCTGGCTATAAGTCTCCAAAGTAACATTTTCAAAAGAAAAATTTCTCCCATTTTTCTCACTTGGAATCACTAGAAATTAAAACTGTGCTTTTCTTACAGCCCTGCAAACTGAAGCTAGAAAATTTAAACTTTGTAGCGTAATAGCAGAAATAGTAGCATTTGCAGATAACTGTATTTTCACAAGCTTACTTTTTCTTATGTACAATGTAGACTTACTAAGTGCAAGACAAATGCATAATAGATTTTTTCTCTACTCCCTTCTTTTCACCTATAAAATGTAGATTCACTGAGCACTAATCAGAGCCTCACACACCCCACCTTTGTGCCTGCCTACTGAAGTATGGACTTCTCGGTAGCATATCCTAAATTACTTTTCCAGGATTGCATTCCCTTTGTTTCTATAATCTGGTCTTGGTCCCTCCCTTTTGTTTCTCTTTTTCCCTTTTTTCTTTCTCTCTTTCCCTTTTTTCTTTCTCTCTTCCTCCCTCTATTTTTCTCCATGGGACAAGAGACTTTACAAGCCCCTAAGAATAAGCCTTCCTAGCAACATGGGATCTAATCTTCCAGGAATAAATCATTCTAGCAGAAGAGGTTAGACTAAACCCATGAGCAGACACCCATTTTCTTCTACCATGCTTTCTCTGAAAGATTTTGAATAACAAGGGAGAAATGTGAAAAGAAAATAGAATCTCAGGACCCCAAACTGCTATGCAAGAAATTAAGCTTGGAAACTGAGTCATGCAAAATTTGCCTTCCTTTTGTTCCCAAACATATAACTGTAATTTTACATGCTTACTTTAGCTTATGTAAAATATAGATTTACTGAACATGATGTGAATGCATAACTGACTTCTTCCTCCCTCCCTTCTTTTCACATGTAAAATGTAGATTCACTAAGGACTAATCACAGCCTCACAAGTATGTAACCACTCGCATCATTGCCTACCTGTCCTTCCTTTTTTTTTCTTTCCTCTCCTGCTTGCCCTTTCTCCTTTAAATATTGAAGGTCCCAAAATCCTCCTTGGAAAAAGCACAGGTCACAGGTCCTATTGTGGCTTATGTTTCTTTTCCCCCAGCATATTTTCAACCTTGGCAAAATGAACACCGAATTGATTGAGATCTGCCTCAGTCACTTTTTGGTTTACAAAGCTAAATTAATTACATTTGTAAATTAAAAACAAGGGGCCAGGTGCAGTGGCTCATGCCTGTAATCCTAGCACTTTGGGAGGCCGAGGTGGGTGAATCACCTGAGGTCAGGAGACCAGCCTTGCCAACATGGCAAAACCCTGTCTTTACTAAAAATACAAAAATTGGCCAGGCATGGTGGCAGGCACCTGTCATCCCAGCTACTCGGGAGGCTGAGGCAGGAGGCAGAGGTTGCAGTGAGCCAAGATCACACCACTGCACTCCAGCCTGGACAACAGAGTGAAACTCCGTCTCAAAAAAAAAAAAAAAAAAAGAGGCTGGGCACATTGGCTCATGCCTGTAATCACAGCACTTTGGGAGGCCAAGGCAGGCAGATCATGAGGTCAGGAGTTCAAGACCAGCCTGGCCAACATGGAGAAACCCCATCTGTACTAAAGATACAAAAAATTAGCCAGGCATGGTGGCACACACCTGTAATCCCAGCTACTCGGGAGACTGAGGCAGGAGAATCACTTGAACCCAGGAGGCCAAGGTTGCAATGAGCTGAGATCACACCATTGCACTCCAGCCTGGGCAACAAGGTGAGACCCCATCTCAAAAAAAACAAAAACAAAAACAAAAACAAAAAGATAGCAGCTATTTAGAAAAAAAAAAACAAGAGCTTGGAGTCGCAAAGAAGACAAGCACTCAAACAAAAGCATTTCTCAGCAAGGCAAGTTTACTTCTGCAGAAGGGTGCTGCTTGCACTTCTGGCTGCTGTGAGAGCACACCGAACAATGGACAGAAGCGGGTTTTATCCCTAACGCAATCAGCCCCTGCTACTGTGTCCTGTCCCCATTTGCTGAAGTCAGACTGCACAATCTAAGCTGATCCCAATTGGCTATTTCAAATGGAGCAGGAGTGTGAGTAAGTAGGGCGGGAAGGGCTGTTTCAGCGAGAAGAGAGAGGCCATCCTTTACTGTGCAAAACATGTCAGGGCATGGCAAAGGCAGGAAGAGCCCTCTGCAAGTTACAGATTGGAACTGGTGGGAGTTGGTGTTTACAGAGCGGGTAACTAGGAACAAGAGAGTACAAGGAAGTTGGGTTTTAGAAATAGAAAACAAAGAACAAGGAAGTTGAAGAAGCTGAACCTTTGAAGAGGAACTTACTGTATCTAACAGAACAAATGAGGCTTCTGCAAGACAATTGAAATGATACACTCATAACAATCCTTCATGAAAGTAACATATTAGCCACCTGAGTTTCTGCTTTAGGTTATGAACTCCAAAATGGACTGGCCCCCAGTAATTTACAGTAGGTAGTCCTAAGCCATAAATAAATAGAATCTGTGAATATTAGCTTTGTTCATCTGTAAGAACTTAAGAAAGTGCTGGGCATTGGGTCAGTTCAAGTCTATTGGATGAACTGTGAATCTCATAATCATGGAAATGTAGGAATAAAGATAAATATACATAAACCAGGCCAGGCTCGGTGGCTGACTCCTGTAATCCCAGCACTTTGGGAAGCCAAGGCAGGAGGATCACCTGAGGTTGGGACCAGCCTGACCAACATGGAGAAACCCCATCTCTACCAAAAATACAAAATTAGCCAGGCATGGTGGCACATGCCTGTAATCCCAGCTACTCGGTAAGCTGAGGCTGGAGAATCGCTTGAACCCTGGAGGTGGAGGTTGCGTTGAGCCAAGATCGTGCCATTGCACTCTAGCCTGGGCAATAAGAGTAGAAACTCTGTCTCAAAAAAAAAAAAAAAAAAAAAGTAAACCACAGATTACCTAATGCTAAGGTTTTGTTACAGGAAAGGAGTCTTGATTCAGACCCCAAGAGAGGGCTCTTGGATCTTGCACAAGGAAGAATTCAGGGCAAGTCCATAGAGTAAAGTAAACCAAGTTTATTAGAAAAGTAAAAGAACAAAAGAATGGCTACTCCATCAACAGAGCACCCCTGAGGGCTGCTGGTTGCCCATCTTTATGGTTATTTCTTGATGATATGCTAAACAAGGGGTGGGTTATTTATGCCTTCCCTTTTTAGACCATATAGAGTAACTTCCTGTCGTTGCCACAGCATTTGTAAACTGTCATGGTGCTGGTGGGAGTGTAGCAGTGAGGACGACCAGAGGTCACTCTCATCACCATCTTGGTTTTGGTGGGTTTTGGCTAGCTTCTTTACTGCAACCCATTTTATCAGCAAGGTCTTTAGGACCTGTATCTTGTGCTGACCTTCTGTCTCATCCTATGACTTAGAATGCCTTAACCGTCTGGGAATGTGGCCCAGTAGGGTTCAGCCTTATTTTACTCAGCCCCTATTCAAGATGGAGTTGCTCTGGTTCACATGCCTCTGACAGTTTGAATGACCCCCCAAAACTCATGTTGACATTTAATTGCTATTCTGATAGTATTAAGAGGGGAGACCTTTAAGAGTTGATTAGGTTGAATAGATTAATGTCATTATTGTGGGAGTGGGCTCCTGATAAAAAGTATGTTTGGCCCCTTTGCCCTACCTCTTTCACCATGGGATGACACTACAGGAAGGCCCCCACAAGATGCTGATACCATGCTCTTGGACTTCCCAGCCTCCAGAACTGTAAGAAATACATATTTTAATAAATTGCCCAGTCTGTGGTATTCTGTTACAGCAGCAGAAAATGAAACCTAGTTTGTTATGTTATCATGTTTATTTATTTATGTTTGTTATTCTTGAGTCATAATAGAGTCTTACTCAGATGTGCATTCATGCCTGGCCTCTGCAGGAGGGGCCTGTCTTCAGCCAGGGACAAGCAGAACATTATGGTCAGCATCATCCACAAGGTCAAGAGGCCACAGAGCCCCCTGAGGGCAGTATACTGGCCCCTTCGATATTGTATCCTACCCAGCAGGTTAGTAGGACTGCATGACTGACAGGAATCATTGTAGCCTTCATAGCAAAGTTTTATGGAGACGGGGCTAAGGCTATTGAAGTCCAGCCATTAGATTAATGTAGGAGCTTGCTGTCAGAGACCCTGCTGGGCACTTTTTGTTCCTGTCACAGATGACCTTCACAACAACCTTTCAAGAGAGCTCTTTTCATTTCACTTTTCTTGCATGTGGATGTCCAGTTTTTCCAGTGCCATTTATTGAAAAGACAGTCTTTTCTCCACTGTATTGTCTTTGCTCCTTTATCTGTATTTACGTGGGTCTATTTCTTGGTTCTCTATTCTGTTTCATTGATCTATTTGTCTATTCTTTTGCCAATACAACACTGTCTTTTTTAAATTAAATTATTTTGGTTGACAAATAAAAGTTATATTTGGGTGTATAGCATCATGTTTTCATATACGTATACATTGTAAAATGGCTAAAGCAAGCCATTAACATATACATTACCTCACATACTTTTTGTGGTAATAATGCTTCAAATAATTTATCTTATAATTTTGAAATATACAATATGTGGTTACTAAGTTTAATCACCATAAAGTACAATAGATCTCTTAAACTTATTCTTCCTATCTAATTGAAATTTTGTGTTGGTCGGGCATGATGGCTCATGCCTGTAATCCCAGCACTTTGGGAGGCCGAGGCGGGTGGATCACTTGAGGTCAGGAGTTCGAGACCAGACTGGTCAACATGGTGAAACTAAAAATACAAAAATTAGCTGGATGTGGTGTCACATGCATATAGTCCCAGCTACTTGGGAGGTTGAGGCACAAGAATCACTTGAACCCGAGTGATTCAGAGACTGCAATGAGCCAAGATCATGCCACTGCACTCCAGACTGGGTGACAGAGAGAGACTCTTGTCTTTTTTTTTTTTTTTTTTTTTTTTTGGTAGAGTCTCTCTCTGTTGCCCAGGCTGGAGTTCAGTGGTTCAGTGGTGCAATCTCAGCTCACTGCAACTTCCACCTCCCGGGTTCAAGCAATTCTCCTGTCTCAGCCTCCCGAGTAGCTGGGACTACAGGCGCATGCCACGACACCCGGCTAATTTCTTTTGTATTTTAGTAGAGACAGGGTTTCACCATGTTGCCCAGGCTAGTCTCTAACTCCTGAGCTCAGGCAATTTGCCTGCCTCGGCCTCCCAAAGTGCTAGGATTACAGGCTTGAGCCACTGCGCCCAGCCGAGACTCTGTCTTTAAAAAAAAAAAAAGAAAGAAAGAAAAGAAATTTTGTGTCATTTGCTTACCCCTCCCCAATCCTCCCACCTCCCAGCCTCTGACAACTACCGGTTTACTCACCATGTATATGAGTTTGGCTTTTTTTACATTCCACATATATGTGAGATCATGTTTGTCTTTTTGCGCCTGGCTTATTTCACTTAACATAATGTCTTCTAGGTTCATTCATGTTGTTGACTGAATAGTATCCCACTGTGTATATATACCACATTTTCTTTATACATTCATCCATTAATGGATACTTAGGTTGATTCCATATCTTGGCTCTTGAGAATAACACTGCAGCCAGGTGTGGTGGCTCGCACATGGAATCCAGCTACTCAGGAGGCTGAGGCAAGATGACCACTTAAGGCCAGGATTCTGAGACCAAGCTGGGCAATGCAGTGACACCCTAACTCTAAAGAAAGAAGAAAGAATAATGCTGCAATGAACATGGAAGTGCAGACATCTCTTTGACACACAGATTTTATATCCTTTGAATATATATTCAGTGGTAGGATTGCTGGATCATATGGTAGTTCTATATTTTAATTTTTTGAGGAACCTTCATACTCCTTCCAGCAATGACTATACCAATTATCTGTCTGGATTACTGCAGTTTTATAGAAAGTCTTGAAGTCAGGTGTGGCAGTACTTTGACTTTGTTTTCCTTCTATATTGTGCTGGCTAGGCCTTTTGCCTCTCCATATAAACCTTTTTTGTTTGTTTGTTTTTTGTTTTTTTGAGACAGAGTTTCGCTCCTGTTGCCCAGGCTGGAGTGCAATCTCAGCTCACTGCAACCTCCACCTCCTGGGTTCAAGCGATTCTCCTGCCTCAGCCTCCCAAGTAGCTGGGATTACAGGCACCCGCCACCACACCCAGCTAATTTTTGTATTTTTAGTAGAGACGGGGTTTCACCATGTTGGCGAGGCTGGTCTTGAACTCCTGACCTCAGGTCATCTGCCCACCTCGGCCTCCCAAAGTGCTGGGATTACAGGCATGAGCCACTGTGCCCGGCCTCTCCATATAAATTTTTAAATCAGCTTGTGAGTATACACAAAATAACGTCCTGGGGTTTTGACTGGGATTGCATTGATTCTATAGATCAGGTTGGGAAGAAATGACATATTAACAATATTGAGTCTTCCTGGTCTTGCATCCCAGGTTCAAGCTATTCTCCTGCCTCAGCCTCCCGAGTAGCTGAGATTACAGGTGCCCACCACTACGCCTGGCTAATTTTTTGTATTTTTAGTAGAGATGGGGTTTCACCATGTTGACCAGGCTGGTCTCGAATTCCTGACCTTGTGATTCGCCTGCCTCAGCCTCCCAAAGTGCTGGGATTACAGGCGTGAGCCACCATGCCCAGTTCTTTTGTAGCATTTCAAGATGTTCCAGGCTTATCTTGTATTTTTCCTACTTCACCCCTAGAATCAGCTATTTTTCTAAGGAGCCCTGGTTCCTTCTATTGGAGATTGATGTATTATAACCAAAATCTGGGCATTGGGTGCTCATTTCACTTTCCTAAGGAGGACATAGAGGTTCTGTTGATGACATCTGTGATACCTCTGTCTTTGTCTTCTTCATTTAAAAGAATGTAAACAAGGGACACACAGCAAAGGAGATGCAGTACAGAGCAATTTATTGCAAAGGAAAAATGATATTTTGAAAGTTAAGTGCAGAATAGATAGTATGCCCTGAGAGAGAGGATTCAGGGTGGGCTGCTCCTAAGGATGAGACAGCATTGATTATTGCTGCAGAAACTCCCTTTATGGGGGTCTTACATGATTATTCATAAGGAGGTGGGAAGAGGTGTTACTAGTCAGCATGTTCTGGGTGGTCCTCTGGGTGGGTGGTCCTCTGGATGCACATGTGCAGTAGCTATACATGCTTGTTCATGCATCTTATGTCTCATAAGCATCTTAAATCTCCACCCAGGTGTGTGTTTCTTACTATTGTAATGAGCTAAGGGTCAGTTTGACGGTAGGTAAAATCAAAATGCGCATGCTCTCTACAGGGTAAATTCCCTACTGGAGATAGCTTTGCTTGAATGAGCTGGTCTACAATGTGAATGCTGGAGCTTATTGTGTTGACTGTATGGTTATCACTGTTGCTGCATCCCAAGGACACAGTTACTTCCTTGACTCCCTATCCTGCCTCAATTCCTCCCTAAAAGATCTTAGGACCCATAATCATACGGGAGGATGAGAGGCTAGGTCATTTCTTCCAGAGCTGCTTCCTGCTGAGTGCGGCATTGTCCTTGCCTAACCTGGGCCCTGAAGTCTTTTCCTGCCTAGTCTAACAGTGTGTAAGCCATGTCTTTCAGGGGACTGGTGGGCAAGATGTGAGATAGCTCATTAGCAGCCAAAGGTTGGAAGCCTTGCAAAACCATCACATGAACCGGGATTTGCTGTAGGTGACAAAGCAAGAAATCAGCAATTTTTTTTTTTTTTGAGACAGTCTGGCTCTGATGCCCAGGCTGGAGTGCAATGGAGTGATCTCAGCTCTCAGCTCACTGCAACCTCTGCCTCCCAGGTTCAAGTAATTCTCTTGCTTCAGCCTCCCAAGTAGCTGAGATTACAGACGCCTGCCACCACACCTGGCTAATTTTTTGTATTTTTAGTAGAGACAGTGTTTCGACATGTTGGCCAGGCTGGGAAATCAGCATTTTAAACAAAGTTGGACCAAAAGTTAGAGCTAAACATATGGTAATGACTGGCATTGTTAAAGGGAGCAAGGCAGAAAACAGCCATTGCTTCCAAGTTCCCACGGAAGCTCCTAAATATTCAATTTTGTCTGCCTGGGTAATGATTTTCTTATTCCAAGAAAATGCTATTAATATATATTTGTAATTTGATTGATGCGAAAACAACATTCTTCTTCTAGATACAAACATGTTCCTCGTTGTCCAACTGTGAGAAGGTCTAAGGCTCTTCGGTTTTGTAGGACTGCCAGGAAGTCCAGCTGTTGCTGAAGTCTAGTGAGGCTCTCTGCTGTTTGTCAGAGGGCCACTCTGGTCTCCTGAGACAGTTTATGCTGGGTTCCCAAGGCTCTGTCTCTGTGGCTGGCTCTGCTAGTCCCGATAGAGAGGATAGCACTAATCCCAAGGGAACAAGGAATCCTGCTCAGCGGTGGATCTTGTGATGTTGGTACATGGGGAAAGGGAGAGATTTGTTAGCCAATGCAAAAGGTAGATAAGGGGAAATGTAAACTATGGGACATCGTCCCTTCCATTGTGGAGGGAGTTGTAGACGTGCTGAAGATCCACAAATACCAACAAATTCTTTTTTTTTTTTTTTTTTTTTTGAGACAGTCTCACTCTGTCGCCAGGCTGGAGTACAGTAGTGCGATCTCAGCTCATTGCAACCTCCGACTCCCTGGTTCAAGCGATTCTCCTGCCTCAGCCTCCTGAGTAGCTGGGATTACAGGCACATGCCACCATATCTAGCTAATTTTTGTATTTTTAGTAGAGACAGGGTTTCACCATGTTGGCCAGGATTGTCTCAATTTCCTGACCTCGTGATCCACCCGCCTCAGCCTCCCAAAGTGCTGGGATTACAGGCGTGAGCCACTGCGCCCGGCCAACACAAGCAAATTATATGTGATGGTGAAATTTGTGCTGCAAAAGCATTTTGCATCGAGGTGGTAAAAGTAATGGAAATTTGGTGGTCACTGGACTAATTAGAGGATGGTAGAGTTGAGTGGTGTTAATAAGCTTTTTGAAATAAAGTTCCCCCTTTAGGGTTCTATCATGAGGTGTATAAATGATTCTGTGAGAAAGGTTTAGATATACTGACTCTCTTGTGGAGTTTTTCTATAAAAGGAGTGAAACTGGCATGGTTGCTGTAAAGGCAGAAGGGGAATTGCTCTGGGTAAAAAGCAAGGTAAGAAAGCAATTTTCCCCTTGGCAGAGTGAAGCTATTATTCATAGATAAAAATGGAAGTTTGAACTGGCAGTGGCCAGGTCCAAGGAACTCTCTTTGTATTGTTTGTTTAGTCAGATATTTCCACATTATGGTCCAAAGTTTGTTCCAGGAGGTGTATAGGAATGTTGGCCCATTCTTCCCGAGAAACAGGTTTTGCACATTTTTAAATTTTGGTAGTCATGCAAAGCCAGCAAGACTGAGTTAATTTTTATAAATTAGTAGTATGATTTATTATTTCTTTAGCAGATAAGGTCGTTTTACTAAAAGCGCCTAAAATACAGTAAATAAATAAGAAAAAAATAAAAACATCACATTTCACTGTGAGTTGTTTTCTTGAATAGAAGCTTATGCTGAGGCAACATTAATTGCCTGATGTTTTGGGTCTTGGCTGTTTTTGGACAGGAGCCTTAGATCCTCCAGTGCTTCATAGGAATAGCTTGGAGTCTTTGTTTCAAGTTTCTGTGATGACTTAAAAGGAATCATTTTTTATTTTTGATAAACACACCAAAGGCCTACACCCCTAAGTTTTACTGCAGCAGAAGTTGGTCAGCTGCATGGTAGAGTGAAAATCCTAGTCTGGAGTTTGCTATTAACACCAATGACAGTGTCGTGTTTGGTAGACAGAGGCCCAGGGCAGACAGTGAGAACTGACAGGCCAGCCTCTGTCTTTAAAAGGATATTGATATTTTTGCCTGTCATGTCCAGGGTCATCCGAGGCTCCATTGCTGTGACTGGGGCTGATTGCCACATAGGAGCTGTTTTTTGCCTTTGGTCTCTTTAGTCTTTAGCCAGGGACAATAAGGAATTAGGAGTCCCTCCTCCCTTCAGAGTTGGAGACAGTCCTTCTTCCATTGCCCTTCTTTGTCACATTGATGACAGGCTCCAGAGGGTTTGCAAGCCTGAAGGCCTTTGTTACTTACTTAGCTCCGGTGTCCAGGCTTTTTATAAGTGCAGGAATAGCCCTTGGGTTCCACTCAGGATGACCTGGAGGTGGGAGTTTTCGCATAGTGAGTGAAGGCCAAAAATTGGGACTATCTTTTGTCTCTCTTTTCTTCCCTTTGATCTCTATGTGCCTTTTCCACTCTGTCTTGGTAATTAAAGACACCAAAAGTTAGGTTTAGCAGTTCATTTATTGGGACTTGGGGATTTATGACTAGTTTTGTGACTTTTTCCTGATATCTGGGACAGACTGACTCATGAAGTAGGTCTCTAAGAGGATTTGGTTGTTTTTCTGTGTGTTACCTGAGAGAGGGAGATACAGATAGAGAGTGAGAGTAGGTTGCTTTTTGTTTTAGGGGGGCAATAGGATACTCTGCTATGAGTTGTCCCAGCAGGACTGGGCTCTTTAGGGAGTGTTTGGTGAACAAGCTGATAAGGACGGGGTGCAGAAGACTGTGTGTCAAGTGAGGAAGGACTACAGGAGTAGAAGCTTAAGAGGTTTGAAGAGTAACCCTGGACTAGATTGTAAGGGAGGAAAGTTGTTGGTAGGAGGTATTTTTCTTTCTTTTTTTTTTTTTTTTTTTTGAGACAGAGTCTCACTCATCACCCAGGCAGGAGTGCAGTGGTATGATCTCAGCTCGCTGCAACCTCCGCCTCCTGGACTCAAGTGATTCTCCTGCCTCAGCCTCCTAAGTAGCTGGGATTACAGGCCTGCGCCACCACACCCGACTAATTTTTTTATTTTTAGTAGAGACAGGGTTTCACCATGTTGGCCAGGCTGGTCTCGAACTCCTAACCTCAAGTGATCCACCCACCTTGGCCTCCCAAAGGGCCACTGTTGCACCCAGCTGGTATATTTCTTATTATAGAGTCATTAATTATGTTAGATTTCCCCAAATTCTTTTTTGAGACAGAGTCTCGCTCTGTCACCCAGGATGGAGTGCAGTGGTGCGATCTCGGCTCACTGCAACCTCCGCCTCCCACGTTCAAGTGATTATCTTGCCTCAGCCTCCTGAGTAGCTGGGATTATAGGTGCAAGCCACCACGCCTGGCTAATGTTTGTATTTTTAGTAGAGATGGGGTTTCACCATGTTGGTCAGGCTGGTCTCGAACTCCTGACCTCATGATCCACCTGCCTCGGCCTCCCAAAGTGCTGGGATTACAGGCGTGAGCCACTGCGCCCGGCCTCCCAAATTCTTTTGAATAACATGAGCATAATAGATTTGGTATCAGTCTCTAAGGGACTGGTCTTAGTATAGAGCTGTCTGGTTAGTAGGGGGAATAATGTCAGGTTCCCCTGGGCCCTTGGAAAATCCCTGATCATCCTCTTTTTTTTTTTTTTTTTTTTTTTTTTTTTTGAGATGGCGTCTCTCTCTGTCACCCAGGCTAGAGTGCAGTGGCTGAATCTTGTCTCACTGCAACCTCTGCCTCCCAGGTTCAAGTGATTCTCCTGCCTCAGCCTCCCGAGTAGCTGGGACTACAGGCACGTGCCACCATGCCCAGCTAATTTTTGTATTTTTAGTAGAGACGGGGTTTCACCATATTGGCCAGGCTGGTCTCAAATTCCTGACCTCGTGATCTGCCCGCCTTGGCCTCCCAAAGTGCTGGGATTACAGGCATGAGCCACTGCACCCAAACTTCCTTTCTTTTTATTTAAAAACAGCAACAACAACAAAAACTCTAATTGTAAAACAGTATTGTTTGGGACTATGCAGTGTTGAAAAGACCTAATCATGGAAATTTATTTATCTTTTTTTTCAGGTTAGTAATGGCCAACCTTATATGTGCCCTTAATGTTTTAATTTTGGCCTTAAAATAACAGCTTAGGACATGTAAGTAGCTATGTTCATTAGGCTTTCTAGGTCTCGTAAGGGGAATTTGGTAGAAAATATATTTCACCCAGCAATTAGTTTTCTTCCAGGGCTGGGCACTGTGGCTCACACCTGTAATCACAGCATTTTGGGAGGCTGAGGCAGGCAGATTGCCTGAGGTCAGGAGTTCCAGAGCAGTCTGGCCAATATGGTGAAACCCCATCTCTACTAAAAATACAAAAAAATTAGCCAGGCGTGGTGGCACACACCTGTAGTCCCAGCTACTCGGGAGGCTGAGGCAGGGGAATTGCTCGAACCAGGGAGGTGGAGGTTGCAGTGAGCTGAGATCGGGCCACTGCACTCCAGCCTGGGTGACAGAGTGAGATTTCATCTCAAAAAAAAAAAAAAAAGTTTTCTTCCGGTAAAGATAAAACTCTGCTCTCACCAAAGGCAGAGGAGCCCTGACACACAAAGCAGAAAGAAAGAAACTTTAGGACAATTTTTATCAGTCTTACGGGTTAGAGAGAAAAAGAAAGCAAATGAAAGTCTGTGAATACAGATGGATCAAAAAGGACAATAAATTTTCATGGAAGGACAGAATTCAAAAGGGGTGAAATGCAAAGAAGTGCAAACATAACAAGATGATTGTTAGTAGTAAGAAAAATGAAGATCTCCAGACATTGCAAATGAGGATTCCCAGACAGTGCACAGCCTGGACAGAAGCCCTGCCAGCTTCACAAACCTCCTGTCAAGGAGGGCCACAGTGAACTAGATCTACTTGGTGTGAACTTTGAAGTCCTCACCTCTGCTTGTCACCTATCAGGCTATCAGGATGAACTGATAAATCAGCTGAAGGGAGCAAAGTCACAGTGCGTGAGAATTGTTTTGGAGATTTGTAAGTGGAAGAATGAGAGGAAAGGGAGAGACTCAGTGATGGAAAAGAAAACCTTAAGCCTTAAAGTGGTGAGGATTGTATCAATAGTTTTACTCTTTGGCAATTGTTTATTATATTTATTTAAAAAAAATTTTTTTTTGAGACGGAGTTTTGCTCTTGTTGCCCAGGCTGGAGTGCAATGGCATAATCTCGGCTTACTGCAACCTCCGCCTCCTGGTTCAAGCAATTCTCCTGCCTCAGCCTCCCGAGTAGCTGGGATTACAGGAATGTGCCGCCATGCCCAGCTAATTTTGTATTTTTAGTAGAGATGGGGTTTCTCCATGTTGGTCAGGCTGGTCTCAAAATCCCAACCTCAGGTGATCTGCCCACCTCGGCCTCGCAAAGTGCTGAGATTACAGGTGTAAGCCATCGCACCCACCTATTATCTTTTAATTTATACAGTTTCAAAATATTCCAATGTTTAGTATATACCCTAGAGGTGTTTCAGTGACAGTAGAGGAGGTGGCTTTCTAGGTAACAAGAGAATCCTGCAACCACAGAAACATGTACCAAAATCCAGGAGGTCATCGGCATCCCTGTGAGCTAAGCTGGACGATGGAGTCCAGGGTGTTCCCTTGAATCCCCATGAAACTGAGGCCCTAGGAGGTCATGGGCATTTGCCATGCACCATTCTAGGTCTCACTGGTGCTGGACGTCTCCAAGCTGAACTGAAGTGATCTCTGCTGCCAGCCGGGGAGCCTGGATGTCTCACCAACAAGCCCTTCCTTATTTCACTGATCTGCCATTTTTAATGTCCAGTCATCATGCTTGGAATGCCTGGTTATAGTCCCCATGACTACACATCCATGTGGCCACACATCCTGCACTCAACATGGATGGCCTCTTGGAACGTCTCCTGTTCTCAGAGGAGACGTTCAGAACACACTCCTCTGAGACTCAGAGGAGTCTCAGAACACACAGAGCCTGGAGGAATGGGGACTGTTGGCAAAAGTAGATCTAATGTGTCCCTCAAGGTGAACAAAAATCTTTGAAGAGATTACTTGATTAACAAACAAGTGCTGGGCGCGGTGGCTCATGTCTGTAATCCCAGCACTTTGGGAGGCCAAGGTGGGCTGATCATAAGGTCAGGAGTTCGAGACCAGCTGAGCCAGTATGGTGAGACCCCGACTCTATTGAAAATACAAAAATTAGCCGGGCGTGATGGTGCACGCCTGTAATCCCAGCTACTTGGGAGGCTGAGGCAGGAGAATCGCTTGAGCCCAGGAGGTGGAGGTTGCAGTGAGCCGAGATAGAGCCACTGCACTCCAGTCTGGGTGACAGAGTGAGACTCTTGTCTCAAAAAAAAAAAAAAAAAAAAAAAGTTACAATAGCCAGTAAGTACAGATCAGGTGCAGTCCTGGGAGGAACAGCAAAACAAAAAGTGAAACAGAAGCAGCAAAAGTCCCAAGGCTGAATAATCAGGGCGTTCCATCCAAATAAGGTAATTGTAAACACTGTAAAAGCAGCAGCCAAATGGAAAGCAATCACAATTAGTTGCTCAAAGAATGTGAGTGAGTTAAAAGGTCCTCCCCCAAAACCTTAATAGATCTGGGGAAAGCAGTGATAGTCAATCAGGGGTCTCTGGCTGCCATAGTACTCACCAGTAGTGAAGGGAAACTGAAACCAACGAAGCAGACAAACCTCTGAGTCATGGCACCGGAAATGTTGACGGCTGTTGTAATACCTTGGTTCTTGACTTCTTCATTTAAAAGAATTTAAACAAGAAACACGCAGCAAAGGAGATGAAGTACAAAGCAATTTATTACAAAGGAAAAATATTATTTTGAAAGTTAAGTGCAAAATAAACTGTACACCCTGAGAGGATTCAGGGTGGGCTGCTCCTAAGGATGAGACAGCATTGATCACTGCTGGAGAAACTCCCTTTATGGGAGTCTTACATGATTATTCACAGGAGGTGGGTGGGAAGAGGTGTTACTAGCAAGCATGTTCTGGGCGGTCTTCTGGGTGCACGTGTGCAGTAGCTGTACATGCTTGTTCATACATCTCATGACTCATTAGCATCTTAAATCTCCACCCAGGGCTGTGTTTTTTTTCACTATTGTGATGAGCAAAGGGTCAGTCTGAGAACAGGTGGAAATGCACGTGTTCTGTACAGGGTAAACTCCCTATTGGAGATAGCTTTGCTTGAATGAGCTGGACTACAATGTGAATGCTAGAGTTTATTGTGTTGATTGTGTGGTCATCACCAGTCGCTATGTCCCGAGGACATGTTTACTTTTTTCATTACCTATACTTCCTCAATTCCAACACCTGCCTGAGCTTACACAGGCAAATAAATGACTCATTTCAGCACCACCTTAGAGCTTATTCAGTGCAGCCTTTGACATCCCTCAGAGGAGAAGTTTTCCAAGCATGATTTTATTTTGTAAAGCCTCCGTTTTTTCAGCCTGCAGAGCTGAGACATTGATAATTTTATTCTCAAATATTTAGAGACTTTCTTATAAGATTTTCACATCTTGGTAACAAATTTCACTTACAAAATTTGCCAGAATAGGCAAAAGGAAAGAGACAGCAGGAGGGATCACTAAGATTTTTCTTTCCTGTGGAGTATTTTACTGTTCCTGCTTCTCTTTTCACTTTCCTGGGCTTGGGGGAAGGGCAGCTCCCTCGGACCATGAAAGAAAAATGGTAATACGGAAACATCTGTCTTTATCGCCTCCCCCAACCCTTCCACTCTGCTCTGGCTGTGCCCATTCTCCCTCCCACCCCCTGGCCCATAAGCCTTTTCCTTCTCCCAACCTCACCGAGAGCCCAAACTCTCACCTACAGCTGGCTCCTCAGTGGGAACTGAGTCATTACCTGCTAAAGGGTAGAAGAGGAGAGAGAGAGGCCAGAGCCTGGGGATGGGGCAGAAGGTGCGGCAGGAAGGAAGGTTAGAGTGAGAAAAATTTCCAAATAAGGGGTGATGTGTGAGTGCTCAGAGGGTGACTGAGGACATCTCCAGCATTTCCATTGAGGAGGGAGGAAGGAGGGGCCCTTGGGTTCTGGGGCAGATGCCGGCAGGGTCTGGATGAGATGCCCCCAACCTCAACCCTGGTCCTCTGAAAACACTTCACCCAGTCACACTGAGGAGCCCCTCCAGGCCCAGGGGCCCCTCCAGGTAGGCGTATCTCAGCTCCTCTCTGGAAGGACCCCCACAGCTGCCCAGCCCTGGTATGTCTCATCTCCCTGGTTCTGGTCCCCTTGAGTCTTGAGTCCGGGGTTGGCTCCTTCCCTTCCTGCAGCCGGGTCAGAGTGAGCTTGGCAGATGAGAAGCCAGGTGCTCTGCATGGCAAGGTGTGGTTGCCCTCAGGGTCCTCCTTGTCAGGGACCACAAGCCCTGGGGAAGGAGGCACTCGATGTAGGAGACAGAGAGCAGAGAGGTGGAGTGAGGGTGGGACACGCTTTGGCCTCCCCTCCTCTCCTAGTCTTCCTCCACATGCCAGTGCCTTTCCCTCCCCAACTCCAGGTCGTATAAGAGCCACAGCAGGAAGGGTAGACCTGGGTCCCCAACATTCTTTGAAGAAGTCTTTCCATAAGTGTGTCCACCTCCATTCCCACTGCAGCTTTAGGGTCTGCCTCAGTGCAGAGCCCTGGGTATGTACAGAGCATAGGTGTACATGAGGGTGATTCTGGAAGGTTCTTCCTTTGCACATACCTGCGTGTCTCAGTTTCTCTCCTCTTCAAGTCTGCTCAAATGGCACCTTCATGAGGCCCACCCTGACCACCCTACTTAAAATGCCACCTCTATTACTTTGCATTGATTGTCAACTTTGCATTTTTTTTTTTACTTTTTTTCTTTTTTTTGAGGTGGAGTCTTGCTCTGTCACCAGGCTGGAGGGCAGTGGTGCGATATTGGCTCACTGCAACCTTCACCTCCTGGGTTCAAGCGATTCTCCTGCCTCAGCCTCCAGGGTAGCTGGGACTACAGGTGCACGCCACCACACGCAGCTAATTTTTGTATTTTTAAGTAGAGACAGAGTTTCACCATATTGGCCAGGATGGTCTCGATCTCTTGACCTCGTGATCCACCCATCTCGGTCTCCCGAAGTGCTGGGGTTACAGGCGTGAGCCACCGCACCTGGCCTATTTTTTCTTTTTATCACCTATCACTTTGTAAACATAAAAGTCCTTTTCCAAAGATGGCCTCAACAATATCTCCCATCCCACATGCTCTTTAGCAATGTGACCTTGCCATCCTCTATCAAGAGCTGATGCTAATCCCCCTTTTTGGATCTGGGACTTGCTTTGGTGACTAGAACATGAGGAACGTGATGCTGCCTGACTTCTGAGGTTCCAGCATAAGATGCCTTGTGGTTCTGACTTGGCCACTTGAAACACCCGGACCCCAGGTGCAGAGCCAGAAGCAGCCAGGGCACGTGGAGGAGCAGGTGGAGGAGAAACCAAGTCACCTGGTTCACAGCCTCAGTGAGTTCCCAGCCAACAAGCCAGCACCAACTGCAGCCCTGTGCAGGAGCCTCTTGAATGTGTTGGACCAGCTGGGCTCCAGATGATGGTGGCCCAGCCCATGTTGTATGGAGCGGAAGAGCTGCCCAGCTGAGCCCAATCAGCCCACAGAATGAGAGATAATATAAAGGTTGTTTATAATATATATATACATATATATATATTTTGGGGGGGATGGAGTCTCACTCTGTCACCCAGGCTGGAGTGCAGTGGCACAATCTTGGCTCACTGCAACCTCCACGTTCTGGTTTCAAGCGATTCTCCTGCCTCAGCCTCCCAAGCAGCTGGGATTACAGGCACCTACCACCACGCCCAGCTAATTTTTGTATTTTTAGTAGAAACAGGGTTTCATCATGCTGGCCAGGCTGGTCTCGAACTCTTGACCTTGTGATCTGCCCACCTCAGCCTCCCAAAGTGCTGGAATTACAGGCGTGAGCCACCATGCCCGGCGTTTGTATGCGTTAAGATTATTTTTTGCTCAGCAATCAATTGCTGGAACACATCCATATAATTCACTACTGTTACTATATTTTTCTTTATTGTCTTTCAGATTGTAAGCATCAGGGAGCAGGTGTTAGTCTCTTTTGATTAAATGATCACCAGGCCTAGAAAAATGCCTGGCACAGAAGCACTTACTAAATATTTGTTAAATGGATGAATAAACTATGTGACCAGAATTCCTTAATACTGGGTCCGAGACTAGAAAGTGGGAGTTACTGGTTTGGTTTTGGCACTTGTTTAGTCAGCTTGTGCTGCCATAACAAAACACCACAGATGGATTGGTTAACAACAGACATTTCTTTCTCACAATTCTGGACCCTGGAAATCTGAGGTTAGGGAACCAGCAGATTCAGTTCCTGGTGAGGGCCCTCTTCCTGCCTGGCAGACAGCTGCCTTCTTGCCATATCCTCACGTGGTGAAGAGAGTGGGAGCTCCAGTCTCTTCTTTTTCTTAAAAGGACACTAATCCCATCATGGGGGCCCCAACCTCTCAACCTCTTCTGAATCTAATCACTTCCCAAGATGGCCACCAGTCTCAAGGAGTTTACTGTCACAGTGGGAGCAAAGATGCTACAGCAGGTTGTAAAATTAGGTGTCATCCCAGTCAGTGGGGAGAGGACAGGTAATTCAGGGAAGGGGACCTGGATAGAGCTCACCCATAGGATATGGCAGGTCCCAGAACTCTACTGAAATCAAGTCTGGATAAAAGTCAATAATATTCTTCTGACCGAATTCCTTTCAGTCTTCCTGAGGGATGGGCAGGCTCATTCCAGAATAAAGAAGATGCCTGGGGTAAAGAAGACTAGTCTCCAAGGGCACTGGCCCAGGACACCTAGGTTCTACTGGTCACCAACGCCCACCCAGATCTCTCCTGGGTGGAGCCTTGTTCCAAGCCTCTCACAGCCCTTGCCTGCATTCCCATGGTGCTCACCATGGATAACAGGGCCACAGCCAGCCTCAGAGCCAGACTGTTAAGTGAAACCACTGATCCTTGCTGAATTACTTCTTTGAGGCTGAGATAAACTTCACATTTCAGCCTCATTAATAAGATTAATTGTAAATCCAAATGGCCTGCAAATCTATAAACAGTCGCTCAGTTGATTAGCCAGAACATTGAGGACTGTTAATGATACAGGAAAAGGCCCATTTTGGAGGTGAGAAGCTGAGGAGCCTGAAACTGTTTCCATTGTTTATGAAAGTAATCTGACAATTATGAATGAAAATACCCACCACCCCCCGACCCAGCAATCCAAGGTGGGAAATATCTTTTTTTTTTTTGAGACGGAGTTTTGCTCTTGTCCCCCAGGCTGGAGTGCAGTGATGCAATCTCAGCTCACTGCAACCTCCATCTCCCAAGTTCAAGTGATTCTCCTGCCTCAGCCTCCCAAGTAACTGAGATTACAGGCGTGTGCCACCATGCCAGGGTAATTTTTGTATTTTTAGTAGAAACGAGGTTTCACCATGTTGACCAGGCTGGTTTCGAACTCCTGACCTCAAGTGATCCGCCCACCTCAGCCTCCCAAATGCTGAGATTACAGGTGTGAGCCCAAACTCCTACTTTTAAATCACTGCATAATAGTCCATAGTCCATTGAATGGAGTATAGCAATAAACACTGTTACATATTCTGAACCTCAACTCCCTCCCTCCCTCCCTTCCTCTCTCTCTCTCTTCTTTCTTTCTTATTTTTTGACACAGGGCCTCACTCTGTCACCCAGGCGGAGTGCAGTTGTGGGTTAATCATGGCTCACTGCAGCCGCGACCTCCCCAGGCTCAGGTGATCCTCCCACCTCAGCTTCCGGAGTAGCTGGGACTACAGGCATGAGCCACCTCACCTGGCTAATTTTTTGTATTTCTGGTGGAGAAGGGGTTTCACCATTTTGCCCAGGCTGGTCTTAAACTCCTAGGCTCAAACCATCTGCCTGCCTCACCCTCCCAAAGTGCTAGGATTACAGGTGAGCCACCACACCCAGCCAACTGCCTTTATTTCTGTAAGAGATATTTCCCGGCCAGGCGCGGTGGCTTACACCTGTAATCCCAGCACTTTGGGAGGCCGAGGCGGGTGGATCACCTAAGGTCAGGAGTTCGAGACTAGCCTGGACAACATGGCAAAACCCCGTCTCTACTAAAAATATAAAAATCAGCCGGGCGTGGTGGGGGGTGCCTGCAATCGCAGCTACTTGGGAGGCTGAGGCAGGAAGAATTGCTTGAACCCGGGGGGGTGGGGGTTGCAGTGAGCCCAGATGGCGCCACTGCACTCCAGTCTGGGTGACAGACCAAGACTGTCTCAAAAAAAATAAAATACATAAATAAATAACAATAATAATATGTAAGATTTGTCCCACGGCATTTTGAGGTGATGGCAGGCAGAAATAAAGCCAGTCCCACCCTTTCTGGGCTAGGGAAAGCTGAGATGGTCTTCGGCTCCGGGTGAGTCACTCCCCAGGGTCCAGGCCTGGCTGCCCGTTCCCCTCCCCCTCCAACCCACCTACAGCCCCTTCTGCTCTGCCCCATCAACTACATTTTCTCCCTCAGCACTCGCCTTAGATTCCTGGACTCACAGCACAGAGGCGACCTCCTCCTTGCAGACTTTAGGCGCCACTGCGGGGTCCGGAAAAAAAAGAGAAACGGCCCAGCGCTGTCACTTACATAACCCAGGGCGGGGCTGCGCTCGGCGACCGCAAGCGTTTTGAATTCTGCGCCCCAGAGTTCACTGCGAGGACTGGGATCACCCGTCACCCCGCCCTGGTCTACGGAAAATGACAAGTGTTTACTGATATAGAAACGGAATAACGGCGCTGTGGGCTGGGGTGGGCGGAGCTGCCTTCAGGCTTCTGGTCTCCAGCGGCGGGGAACTCACACCTGCCGCTGTGAAAATGCAGACCCGCGGGGCAGTAATTCCGAGTCCAGCCTGGGGCGCGATCTGGAATCTTGACTCGCTTGAAACACCACGGCGGATTCGGAGACAGGTGAGTAGAGAAATGAGCCTCAGCCCCTCCCACGGGCCGCCCACGGATTCCAGGATCCGGAAACTCTTCCTGCTGCTGCGTCACCCCAGGAAGGCAGCGCCCGCCTCTGGGCAGTTCTGATGGAAACTGGCTTCGCCGCCCAGAGGAAAACCCACAACTAAGGGGCCAAGAAAAAGCCTCCATGGTCCCGCCCTTTCAGTGAGGATCCTAATTTATACCCCGAGTGTGGCCCCCATCAAAGTCTGCAGTGACAGCCGAGCGCGGTGGCTCACGCCTGTAATCCCGGCACTTTGGGAGACCATGGCGGGCGGATCACTTGAGGTCAGGAGTTCGAGACCAGCTTGGCCAACATGGTGAAGCCTTCTCTACTAGAAATACAAAAATTAGCCGGGTGTGGTGGTAGGCGCCTGTAGTCCCAGCTACTCGGAGGCTGAGGCAGAAAAATGGCTTGAACGCGGGAGGCGGAGCTTGCAGGGAGCCGAGATCGCGCCACTGCACTCCAGCCTGGGCGACAGAGACTCCATCTCACACACACACAAAAAATGTAGAGTGACGTTCACTGAAATGATACTAGACCAGCGGGAGGGACCCAGAGCGCTGCGGTTCACAGAATGCGGTGACAGCGCCGCCTCGCGTCCTTTACTTCAACTGCCCCAGGCAGACGTGGTCACGTGTGTTGGCCTGGAGGCTGGAATACACCGGGGTCAAATGCAGAGTGGAGAAAGGAGGGAAGGATGGGAGGACGTGTTGAAGAAAGACAGTAAGAGCTAGCGCTATGGTTCATATCTGTAAAACTAGAGTTTTCGGAGGCGAGGCAGGAGGATCGTGTGAGACCAGGAGTTTGAGGTTGCAGTGAGCCGTGATCACACCACTGCACTCCAGCCTGGACGACAGAGTGAGACCCTGCTTTTATATACTTTTCATATTTTCTGTAATTAAGCAAGTTTTGTGTCCGGAATTGGTGGGTTCTTGATCTCACTGACTTCAAGAATGAAACTGTGGACCCTCGCGGTGAGTGTTACAGCTCTTAAGGTGGCGCGTCTGGAGTTTGTTCCTTCTGATGTTCGGACGTGTCCGGAGTTTTTTCCTTCTGGTGGGTTCGTGGTCTCGCTGGCTCAGGAGTGAAGCTACAGAGCTTTGCGGTCAGTGTTATAGCTCTTAAGGCGGCACGTCTGGAGTTGTTTGTTTCTCCCGGTGGGCTTTTGGTCTTGCTGGCTTCAGGAGTGAAGCTGTAGACCTTCACAGTGAGTGTTACAGCTCATAAAAGCACTATGGACCCAAAGAGTGAGCAGTAGCAAGATTTATTGCAGAGCGAAAGAACAAAGCTTTAGCAGTGTGGAAGAGAACCCGACTGGGTTGCCACTGCTGGCTCGGGCAGCCTGCTTTTATTCTCTTATCTGGCCCCACCCACATCCTGCTGATTGGTAGAGCCGAGTGGTCTGTTTTGACAGGGTGCTGATTGGTGCGTTTGCAATCCCTGAGCTAGACACAAAGGTTCTCCAAGTCCCCATCAGATTAGTTAGATACACAGTATGGACACAAAGGTTCTCCAAGGCCCCACCAGAGCAGCTAGATACAGAGTGTAGATTGGTGCATTCACAAACCTTGAGCTAAACACAGGGTGCTGATTGGTGTGTTTACAAACCTTGAGCTAGATACAGAGTGCCGATTGGTGTATTTACAATCCCTGAGCTAGACATAAAGGTTCTCCAAGGCCCCACCAGAGCAGCTAGATAGAGTGTGGATTGGTGCACTCACAAACCCTGAGCTAGGCACAAGGTGCTGATTGGTGTGTTTACAATCCCTGAGCTAGACATAAAGACTCTCCACGTCCCCACCAGACTCAGGAGCCCAGCTGGCTTCACTTAGTGGATCCCGCACCGGGGCTGCAGGTGGAGCTGCCTACCAGTGCCGCACGGTGCGCTTGCATTCCTCAGCCCTTGGGTGGTCGATGGGACTGGGCGCCGTGGAGCAGGGGGTGGTGCTCGTCGAGGAGGCTCGGGCCGCACAGGAGCCCTTGGAGTGGGTGGGAGGCTTAGGCATGGCGGGCTGCAGGTCCCCAGCCCTGCCCCGCGGGAAGGCAGCTAAGGCTCGGTGAGAAATCGAGCGCAGCGCTGGTGGGCTGGCACTGCTGGGGGACCCAGTACACCCTCCGCAGCTGCTGGCCCGGGTGCTAAGTCCCTCATTGCCAGGGGCCAGCAGGGCTGGCCGGCTGCTCCGAGTGCGGGGCCCGCCAAGCCCACGCCCACCCGGAACTCCAGCTGGCCGGCAAGCGCGGCACACAGCCCCGGTTCCCGCTCGCGCCTCTCCCTCCACACCTCCCCGCAAGCTGAAGGAGAGGGCTCCGGCCTTGGCCAGCCCAGAAAGGGGCTCCCACAGTGCAGCGGAGGGCTGAAGGGCTCCTCAAGTGCCGCCAAAGTAGGAGCCCAGGCAGAGGAGGCGGGGAGAGCAAGCGAGGGCTGTGAGGACTGCCAGCACGCTGTCACCTCTCGGTTTTACTTTATTTTAGGATAAAATATCTATTGTGAATTTTAAAAACATGTAAAATAAAATTTTAATTAAAAAGCCTAAATGTTCTTTTCCTATTTATCCTGAAGGAAATTCCTGTTGATGGCGCATTTAGGAACTTATTTATCCCCTGAAGACCTGAGCCCTGCACATATCAAAACTGTACATTCCTTGTGGAGCAGTCTTCTCTTTTGAAATGTAGACACTATTTCCCTAATCTTCAAGCCAGCCATTGTCACTCCTAGTGACACTTCCATTGGATAAGCTCCTTACTCTCACTGAAATTGGCCTCAGAGTTGCAGCCAAGCATTGGGAGCCATGGCAGAAGTCATTGTGGGGTTTGCACCTGGCTGATGTGGAAGGTAGTCCTGAAAGGTAGTGTGTGACTAAGTGGGCTCTGGAGGGCAGGGATGTGCCTGGTGAGAGGAGAACAAGACAGATAGGAAGGTTCCAAAAGAAAACTTCAGGGGTCCCTGTGCCCAACATCGGGATTTAGAAAATCTTCTCCCAGCCACTTTTGACCTGCTTTCATTCCGCTTTCCTGTCTACCAGGCCATTGCAGGCAGTTCCTTCATTGAATAAATATTTATCAAATACCTACCACGTGCCAGGCATTGTGTTTAAGGAGCTGGGGCTGAGGTAAGAGGAACCAAACCCCCCTTGCGCTCAAGGTTGTCCCAGTCTTGCTCAGGCAGAGATCAGTCAGGAAATTGTAACACTAATGGTTGGCAGGACATGTACACATGCTTTGCAAACTCACAAGTAGACCATCTTCTCTGACCTAGGAGTCACAGAAAGTTCACAAAAGAGACAATGTTCAAGCTATGTTTTGAGGTGTAAGTAGGAGCCCAACAGGCACCTGGGACAAGAGAGCATTGCTCAGAATCCAGAACATGAATTTCTTTCCCTGGGCCAGGCCAAGAATCAGACTAAGCTGACTGAGGAGCCAGATGCTTCCTGGCAAGAAAGGGTGTCCCACATCTGACTATTCCAAAATCACAGCTACTCAATGTTGAGACTTAAGACAGACAGAAAAAGAGAAAGGCCTGATTCGAAAAGCAGAATTCTCCAGGGGTGGGGGGAGGTTAAACTGCAGTTTCTGATATAATATGTGTGGGCCAGGCCAGAGAATTGCATTTCCTTTTTTATTTATTTATTTATTTATTTTGAGACGAAGTCTTGCTATTGTCCCCCAGGCTGGAGTGCGATGGCGCAATCTTGGCTCACTGCAACCTCCGCCTCCCGGGTTCAAGTGATTCTCCTGTCTCAGCCTCCCAGGTAGCTGGGATTACAGACGCCTGCCACCACGCTCGGCTAATTTTTTGTATTTTTAGTAGAGACAGGGTTTCACCATGTTGGCCAGGCTGGTCTCGAACTCCTGACCTCAGGTGATCCGCCCGCCTCAGCCTCCCAAAGTGCTGGGATTACAGGCGTGAGCCACTGCGCCCAGCTGAGAATTGCATCTCTAACAAGTTTCCAGGTGATGCCAGTGCTGTTTGTCCCAGGACTACACTTTGAGAATCACTGCCCTAAAGCAACCTGGTTTGATCTCTAATAACAGAAGAGGACTGGGAGAGCACTATGAGGCAGAAGTGTAGGATAAATAAGACCATACTCTGCCCATCCTGGAGAATTCGCAAGCCCAAGGCTGCAGCATTTGAATTCCTTGGGAGTCCCGGGAATTGCAGACACCCAGGAAGAAACTGAATGTGGGTCAGAGGGTGATGCATGCTCTCTGCTTCACACAGCACCTGGGGTTCCTGCCACTACACAGTCTGGCCCCCACACCCTCAATCCTTCCCACCCCTCCTTGAAGCATTGACCTGCAGGCCTTACTCTACTGCCCTCAGCTGTTTGGGCCTGGTATATGACCCTAGGCGCTCCTACCGTACCTTCTGATCCAAATACAGGGTGACCTAGTATGACAACTATTAGCAGACTCATAGGGATAACAGAATGGGCTAAGAATGAGAATCTTTGGTTGCGCACGCCTGTAATCCCAGCCACTTGGGAGGCTGAGGTGGGAGGATCGCTGGAGCCCGGGAGGTGGAGGTTACAGTGAGCAGAGATCAGGCCACCAACATTCCAGCCTGGGCAAAAAAGTGAGACTCTGTTTCAAAAAAAATAAAATAAAATAAAAAGGCCGGGCATGGTGGCTCACACCTGTAATCCCAGCACTTTGGGAGACCAAGGCCAATGGATCACTTGAGGCCAGGAGTTCCAGACCACCTTGGCCAACATGGTGAAACCCTGTCTCTGCAAAAAATACAAAAAGTAGCCAGGCATGGTGGCATGCACCTGTAGTCCCAGCTACTCCAGAGGCTGAGGCAGAGAATCGCTTGAACCAGGGAGGCGGAGGTTGCAGTGAACCGAGAAGATTGCACCACTGCACTCCAGATGGGGCAACAGAGCGAGACTCTGTCTCCAAAAAAAAAAAAAAAATAAGAATCTTGAAAAGTTGGCAAGTGGCTTCAATTACATGTCCCCCAGAATTACAAGTGTTTTTTCTAAATATCACATCCTTGGGCCCACATGGACACCAGAGGGCACCCTGAGCTCACTGAAGCCACAACTGTCGCATTAGACCATTAGAATCCCTTGTAAAGGCCAGGCATGGTGGCTCACACCTGTAATCACAGCACTTTGGGAGACCGCGGAGGGTGGATCATCTGAGGTCAGGAGTTCGAGACCAGCCGGGCCAACATGGTGAAACCCCATCTCTACTAAAAATTAGCCGGGTGTGGTAGCATGCACCAGTAATCTCAGCTACTGGGGAGGCTGAAGCAGGAGAATCACTTGAACATGGAAGGCAGAGGTTGCAGTGAGCCAAGATTGCATCCTTGCACTCCAGCCTGGGCAACAACAGCAAAACTCCATCAGAAAAAAAAAAAAAAAAGAATCCCTTGTAAAGACTGCGGTTTGGCTGGGAGCAGTGGCTCATGCCTGTAATGCCAGAAATTTGAAAGGCTGAGGGTGGGCCACGGTGGATCGCTTGAGGTCAGGAGTTCAAGACCAGCCTAGTCAACATGGTGCAACCCCATCTCTACTAGAAATACAAAAATTAGCTGGGCATGGTGGCATGCAACTGTAGTCCCTGCTACTCAGGAGGCAAGAGAATTGCTTGAGCTCTTAAGGCAGAGGTTGCAGTGAGCCAAGATTGCATCACTGCACTCCAGCCTGGCCAACACAGCAAGACTCCATCTCAAAAAAAAAAAAAAAAAAAGGAGTGATATAATTTTTAGACAATTTTTTTTTTTTTTTTGAGATGGAGTCTCGCTCTGTCACCCAGGCTGGAGTGCAGTGGCACGATCTTGGCTCACTGCAAGCTCTGCCTCCCGGGTTTACGCCATTCTCCTGCCTCAGCCTCCTGAGTAGCTGGGACTATAGGTGCCCGCCACCACACCTGGCTAATTTTTTGTATTTTTAGTAGAGACAGGGTTTCACCGTGTTAGCCAGGATGGTCTCCATCTCCTGACCTCGTGATCCGCTTGCCTCTGCCTCGCAAAGTGCTGGGATTACAGGCGTGAGCCACCGCGCCTGGCCCCAGCTACAATTTTTGTTTTCTCTTAATGAAGGTAAGAGAATTCTATCAGGCTGAGTTTTTTTCTTAAATTTTCACTATGAGTTTTTTGGGTTTTTTTCCTCCTTGGAATTACCTTTTGTGTTTTCACTTGGTTAAAAATTCAAAAGGTTCAAAAGGCAAAAAGTCTCTGTCTTGGCCGGGTGCAGTGGCTCAAGCCTGTAATCCCAGCACTTTGGGAGGCCGAAGCAGGTGGATTACAAGGTCAAGAGTTCGAGACCAGCCTGGCCAACATGATGAAACCCCCGTCTCTACTAAAAATACAAAAATTAGTCGGGTGTGGTGGTGGGCATCTGTAATCCCAGCTACTTGGGAGGCTGAGGCAGGAGAATCACTTGAACCCGGGAGGCAGAGGTTGCAGTGAGCCGAGATCTTGCCATTGCACTCCAGCCTGGGCGACAAGAGCAAGACTCCGTCTCGAAAAATAAATAAATAAATTAATTAATTAAAGAAAGAAAGAAAACAAACTTAAGACATTTGTTCGGGCTTGGTGGCCCACGCCTGTAATTCCAGCACTTTGGGAGGCCGAGGCGGGCGGATCACCTGAGGTAAGGAGTTCGAGACTAGCCTGGAAAACATGGCAAAACCCTGTCTCTACTAAAAATACAAAACATTAGTGGGCATGGTGGCAGAAGGCTGTAATCCAGCTACTTGGGAGGCTGAGGCAGAAGAATCACTTGAACCCGGGAGGCGGAGGTTGCAGTGAGCTGAGATTGCACCATTGCACTCCAGCCTGGGTGACAGTCAGATTCTGTCCCAAAAAAACCAAACAAACTTAGACGTTTTATGCATATGCAAGCAAATATAAGTGTGTGTGTATATACATATAATTTCCCTCTTTCCACATAAATTTTAGCAAACTACATATGCTTTCCTTCATCTTGTTTTTTTTTTCTTTCTGAGACAAGGTTTCACTCTGTCACCCAGGCTGGGGTATACTAGTATGACTACCACTCACTGAAGGCTTGAACTCTTGGGCTCCCCACTAGCTGGGACCACAGGTGTGAGCCACAACACCTGGCTTTTTTTTGAGACAGAGTTTCACTCTTGCCGCCCAGGCTAGAGTGCAGTGGTGCGATCTCGGCTTACTGCAACCTCTGCCTTCTGGGTTCAAGTGATTCTCCTGCCTCAGCCTCTGGAGTAGCTGGGAAATCCCATCTGTACTAAAAATACAAAAATTAGCCAGGCGTGGTGGTGCACACACCTGTAGTTCCAGCTACTCAGGGGGCTGAGGCAGAAGAAATGCTTGTACCTGGGAGGTGGAGGTTGCAGTGACCTGAGATCTCACCACTGCACTGCAGCCTAAGACAGTGAGACTGTCTCAAAATTTAAAAAAAAAAATTTTTTTTAAAGAAAGAATGAACTACTGATAGGTGCAACAACATGGATGGATTACATAGATATTATGCCAAATACAAAAAGCCAGACACAAAAGAGGCCATACCTATGCATGCATTTATAGGAAGTTTTAAAACAGGCAGCCCAGCACAGTGGCTCACACCTGTAATCCCAGCACTTTGGGAGGCCGAGGCGGGTGGATCACCTGAGGTCAGGAGTTTGAGACCAGCCTGGTGAACATAGCGAAACCCCATCTCTACTGGAAGTACAAAATTAGCCAGTCATGGTGGCTCACACCTGTACTCCCAGCTACTCAGGAGGCTGAGGCAGGAGAATCTCTTGAACCCAGGAGGCAGAGGTTGCAGTGAGCCGAGATCGTGCCATTGCACTCCAGCCTGGGTGGCAGAGTGAGACTCCATCTCAAAAAAAAAAAAAAATTAGGAAAAACTGCTCTATAGTGATAGTCATCAGATCCATGGCTACTCAGGGGTAGGGCAGAATCAAAGAGGGCAAAGAGAACTTTCTATATCTTGACAGGGGTGTGGGTGACATGTACTTGTCAAAATTCATTGATGGATTTGCTAAAGATCTGATCATTTCACTTTTTGTAAATGGTGAAATTTTAAAATAAAATTTTAATAAATTTAATAAATTTTAAAATAAAAATATTTTTGCTGGGCACGGTGTCTCACGCCTGTAATCCCAGCATTTTGGGAGGCCAAAGTGGGTGGATCACTTGAGGTCAGGAATTTGAGACCAGCCTGGCGAAACCCTGTCTCTGCAAGCAAATACAAAAATCATCCAGGTGTGTGGTGTGTACCTGTAGTCCCAGCTACTCAGGAGGCTGAGAGAGGAAAATCGCTTGACCCTGGGAGGTGGAAGTTGCAGTGAGCTGAGATCACACCACTGCACTCCAGCCTGAGCAATAGAGGGAGACTCTGTCTCAAAAAAATAAAATAGGGTTGGGGACAAAGGGAGGGAGAGCATTAGGACAAATACCCAATGCAGGCGGGGCTTAAAACCTGGATGACAGGTTGATAGGTGCAGAAATCACCATGGCACATGTATACTTATGTAACAAACCTGCACATTCTGCACATGTATCCTGGAACTTAAAGTAAAAAAAGTAATAATAATAATTTTAAAAATAAATAAATTAATTAAACAAAAATATTTTAATGTTAATAATAAAAAGTAGCCGGGGGCTGTGGCTCATGCCTGTAATCCCAGCACTTTGGGAGGCCGAGGTGGGCGGATCACCTGAGGTCAGGAGTTTGAGACTAGCCTGGCCCACATGGAGAAACCCTGTCTCTACCAAAAATACAAAATTAGCCGAGGGTGGTGGCAGGGGTTTGTGATCCCAGCTACTCAGGAGGCTGAGGCAGAAAAATCACTTGAACCCAGGAGGCAGAGGTTGCGGTGAGCTGAGATTGTGCCATTGCACTCCAGCCTGGGCAACAAGAACAAAACTCCGTCTCAAAAATAATAATGATAATAAATAAGATAATTGGGCCAGGTGTGGTGGCTCACACCTGTAATCTCAGCATTTTAGGAGGCCGAGGTGGAAGGATCACCTGAGGTCAGGAGTTCAAGACCAGCCTGGCCAACATGGTGCAACCTCATCTCTATTAAAAATACAAAAAATTGGCTGGGTGTGGTGACTCACGCTTGTAATTCCTGTACTTTGGGAGGCCAAGGCAGGTGGACCAGTGGACCACGAGGTCAGGAGATCGAGACTATCCTGGCTAACACAGTAAAACCCCATCTCTACTAAAAATACAAGAAATTAGCTGGGCGTAGTGGCACATGCCTGTAGTCCCAGCTACCTGGGAGGCTGAGGCAGGAGAATCACTTGAACCCGAGAGGTGGAGATTGCAGTGAGCCAGATCACACCATTGCACTCCAGCCTGGGCGACAGAGCGAGACTCTATCTCAAAAAAAAAAAATACAAAAAATTAGCAGGGCACACCGGGCACGGTGGCTCAAGCCTGTAATCCCAGCACTTTGGGAGGCTGAGGCAGGCGGATCACAAGGTCAGGAGATCGAGACCATCCTGGCTAACATGGTGAAACCCCGTCTCTACTAAAAATACAAAAAAATTAGCCAGGCGTGGTGGCAGGCACCCATAATCCCAGCTACTCGGGAGGCTGAGGCAGGAGAATGGCATGAACCCGGGAAGCAGAGCTTGCAGTGAGCCGAGATCACACCACTGAACTCTAGCCTGGGCAACAGAGCAAGACTCCGTCTCAAAAAAAAAAAAAAGAGTACTGAAGTTCCAAAGGAGAGGATAAACAGGCTGCACAAACAACTTTCGCAGAGTAGATACGTAATGAGTGACTTGAAACACCTGCTGGGCACTCAAACTAGGCCAAAGGAAAGAGAAACAGAATGAGTATATGCTATAAGAACTGGAGATAAGTAAGATTCCTTACTCATATCCTTATCTCCAGTTCTTGGCACATAATGGGCACTCAGTTTATTGTTAGGTGAATAGGCTGCTGTGGAGAAAGGTAAATAAATGATGGAAAAAATTACAAGGGGAATTAACTAATCTGTACACTAAACCCCTGTGACAGGAAATTTATCTCTATAACAAACCTGCTCATATACCCCTGAACTTAATATAAAAGTTTTTAGGCCAGGTGCGGGGCTCACGCCTGTAATCCCAGCACTCTGGGAGGCCGAGGTGGGCAGATCACCTGAGGTCAGAAATTTGAGACCAGCCTGGCCAACATGGTGAAATCCCCATCTCTACTAAAAATACAAAAAATTAGCCAGGCATGGTGGTGCATGCCTGTAGTCCCAGCTACTCGTGAGGCTGAGGCAGGAGAATCACTTGAACCCGGGAGGTGGAGGTTGCAGTGAGCTGAGATCTCACTCCAGCCTGGGTGACAGAGTGAGACTCCGTCTCAAAATAAATAAATAAAATCGGTGAGAAGCTCACTTCCTAAACCACAAACCCTCCTCAAATAATCAGAATTGTCTACTCTCATCTACCCTGCACCCCGTACTCTCCCTCTCTCCACAGTGGCTGAAAGAATGATGGGGAAGAGAGGAAGAAGAAATTGCCTTAGGCCTTCTCCCTCTTCTAGGGTCTCTGTCTTTCCACTATTTTCTTTTAAAAACTTTTTGCTTTTTTTTTTTTTTTTTTTTGAGACACAGTCTCACTCTGTCACCCAGCCTGGAGTGCAGTGGCATGATCTCGACTCACTGCAACCTCCCCCTCCCAGGTTCAAGCCATTCCCTTTCCTCAGCCTCCCGAGTAGCTGGGACTACGGGTGCGTGCCACCATGCCCAGCTAATTTTCGTATTTTTAGTAGAGATGGAGTTTCACCATGTTGGCCAGGCTTGTCTTAAACTACTGACCTCAAGTGATCCACCCACCTCAGCCTCCCAAAGTGCTGGGATTACAGGCGTGAGCCACCATGCCCGGCCAAAAACCTTTTACATGAGCAGGTTTGTTATAGAAGTAAATTGCCTGTCGTGGGGATTTGGTATACAGATTAGTTAATCCCCCATGTAATTCTTTCCACCATTTATTTACCTTTCTCCACAGCAGCCTATTCCCTTTGAGGGAAGAGAGAGACCCTTTCGTATTGTTTTATATTGCTTTATACTCAGTATCTGTTTTAAGAAAAAACAAGGAAGTAAAACCAAAGACAGGCAGCCTGGCGCCAGGCCCAAAACCAGGCCTGGGCCTGCCTGGCCTAAACCCAGTAGTTAAAAATCAACCCATGACTTAGAACGCGATGTTTTTCCTAGTTTCCAGACATTGTATAGAAGAACATTGTGACACTCCCTGCCCTGTTCTGTTTCTCTCTGACCACCAGTGCATGCAGCCCCTGTCACGTACCACCTGCGTACTCAAATCAATCACGACACTTTCATGTGAAATCTTTAGTGTTGTGAGACCTTAAAAGGGACAGAAATTGTGCATTCAGGGAGTTTGGATTTTAAGGCAGTAGCTTGCCGATGCTCGCAGCTGAATAAAGCCCTTCCTTCTACAACTCGGTGTCTGAAAGGTTTTGTCTGGGGCTCGTCCTGCTACATTTCTTGGTTCCCTGAACAGGAAGCGAGGTAACTGACGGACGGCCAAGGCAGCCCCTTGGGTGGCTTAGGCCTGCCCTGTGGAGCATCCCTGCGGTGGACTCTGGCCAGCCTGAGTGACGCGATCCAAAGAGCGCTCCCGGGTAGGAAATTCCCCGGGTGGAACGCCTCGCCAGAGCAGCACGTAGCAGGCCCCCGAGGAGGATTAACACACTGGCTGAACACTGGGAAGGAACTGGCACTTGGAGTCCGGACATCTGAAACTTGGTAAGACTAGTCTTTGGAACTTGCCCCACTCCATCTGAGTGGAAGCATGGCCTGATCACCCATGGTGTGCCTGTACTGGCACTTTTATTCTGGTTTTGACTTGACTTAGATTGTGTGATACTTTGGTTTTGGTTTTGGTTTTGACCTGGCTTGGGTTTTTGGATACTCTGATTTTGGTTTGGTGTAAACTGCAAAAGTGTGTGTGCCCTGTTTTTTTGTTTTGTAGTGCACGTGTGGTGTGAGCGTGGTGTTTTGTCTCGAAGAAGCATGGGTCAGGCACAAATAAGCCCACCCCACTAGGAACTATGTTAAAAAAATTTTTTTTTCAAGAAAGAATTTAAGGGAGATTACGATGTTACTGTGACACCAGGAAAACTTAGAACTTGTGAAATAGACTGGCCAGCATTAGAGGTGGGTTGGCCATCAGAAGGAAGCCTGGACAGGTCCCTTGTTTCAAAGGTATGACACAAAGTAACCTGTAAGCCAAGGCATCCAGACCAGTTTCTGTACATAGACAGTTACAGCTGGTTTTAGACCCCCTTCCCCCTACAGTAGTTAAGAGAACAGTAGCATAAGCATCTGGCAGAGGCAAGGAAAGACCAGCAGAGAGAAAAAAAGGCCATCTATACCAATTCTAAGTTAATTTAGACTAAACAAGGTCTTATTAATAGCAAAGGATAATTGAAATCCCAAACTTACAAGGTTTTCAACAAAAGTGAAGTTTGCTAAAAATTAACAGTATAACATGTATTATGGTAACTTCTAATCTTGTGGCCTTAGACGGTCTAGTCCAAAGACAAAAAAAAAGTTCACTTTAAAAAAAAAAGCGGGGGAGGCAGAATTTATGTAAAAAGAGTGTTATATGGTAAATTCTTGTCCTGAAATAAATTAACTGGTTGTTTAAAGAAAAAAAAATGTTTGTAATAAGTCAGAAAGTTGAGACATGTTGAAGAATTGTCGGCGAAAGTCGTGAAAGAAAAAATTTTATAAAAAAATTTATGCAAAAAATATTGTGTAATTTAAAAGTAATAAGGCCTCCTGAGTACTATTTAAAAAAAAAAAACAGTTTATGTGCAAGGTGTATAAGAAAAGTAAAATATACCTTTGGTAAAAAGATTATAAGGAGGCATAAGAATGTGGATTTTTACCTACATTAAAAGGTTAAAAAAATTATTGTTTTGAAAGTGTAAGCAAATTTTAAAATGTTAATTGTAAAGAAAATTCTGTGTGTAAACATATTAGCTAAAGTTAAAAAGGTATCATCCAGTTTTTCTGTGAACTGGACATTAAAGTAAAAATGTGACAGGTTTTTCTTAAAGCATCAACCTGCTCTTTAACAAAAATTATAAAAGGTTAAAAAGAGTCTATAAAACCTTACCTTATGGTCAAACATGAAAAATTGGATAAATATGTCTACAAAGTTTTATTAAAATTAAGTTTAACATTAATAACACACTAATATAAAGGTAAAATTTAGCTTACCTGGTATAAAAATCATACAAGAAGCATTATTAAATATAAAATGGTGTTTAGCTTTCTTTGGTCTAAAAACTAATAAAAATAGATGCTAAAGGAAACATTCATTTTACTAGAGGATCATAGAAGTTAAAGACTTAAAACAAACTTTGGCAGTTAAGACAGCATACCAAGATGCAAATGCCTGGTTGGAATGGATTAAATATTCCATCTGCACGTTAAACAAAATCAATTGTTATGCTTGTGCACATGGCAGGCCAGAGGCCCTGATTGTCCCTCTTCCACTAAGGTGGTCCTCCAGTCGACCAGGTGTGGGCTGCATGGTAGCTCTTTTCCAGGATTCTACAGCCTGGAGTAATAAGTCATGCCAAGCTCTCTCTGCTATATCCCGAAGTCTCTGTGGGTCAGCCCCCGAGGGCCATCCAGCTTCCATCTCCCAACACTAAGTTCACTTCTTGTCTCTCACGGCAGGGAGGAGATTTAGCATTCCTTGGAGACCTGAAGGGATGCAGTGAGCTTAAGAGTTTCCAAGAGCTTATCAATCAGTCAGCCCTTGTTCATCCCCGAGAGGATGTGTGGTGGTATCGGGGTGGACCTTTACTGGGCACTCTGCTGAATAACTAGAGTGGCACTTGTGCTTTAGTCCATTTGGCTATCCCTTTCACCCTGGCATTTCATCAACCAGAGGAAAAAAAAAGTAAGACATCATAAAACGAGAGAAGCCCCTTATAGGTCTTTCAATTCTCACATCTACTTAAATGCAATTGGAGCCCCACAAGGAATACCAGATCAATTTAAAGCTTGAAATCAAATAGTTACAGGATTTAAGTCAATATTTTAGTAGATGACAGTCAACAAAAATGTAGATTAGATAAACTACATCTATTACAACCAACAGCAAAGAGCTTTTCATTAGTTAAAAAGAAAAACTCATGTCGGCCCCAGCCCTGAGGCTACCTGACCTGACAAAACTCTTTACACTCTGTGTGTCAGAAAGAGAAAAAATGACAGTTGGAGTTTTAACCCAGACTGTAGGGCCCTGGTCAAGGCCAGGGGCCTATCTCTCAAAACAACTAGACGGGGTTTCCAAAGGCTGGCCCCCATGTCCAAGGGCCCTGGCAGCAACTGCCCTGTTAGCACAAGAAGCAGATGAGCTAACTCTTAGGCAAAACCTAAACAGAAAGTCTCCCCATGCTGTGGTGACTTTAATAAATACCAAAGGACATCATTAGCTAATAAATGCTAGACTAACTAGATACCAAACCTTGCTCTGTGAAAATCCCCACAAAACCATTGAAGTTTCCAACACCCTAACCCAGCCACCTTACTCCTGGTAACAGAGAGCCCAGTTAAACATAACTGTTTAGAGGTGCTGGACTCAGTTTATTCTAGTAGGCCTAACCTCCGAGACCACCCTTAAACATCAGTAGACTGGGAGCTGTACGTGGATGGGAGCGGCTTTGCCAACCCCTGCAAAGTGACTCTGAAGAAGGAGACAAGCCCTGCTCCAGTCACACCCAGAAGCTGACTGGTCCACGCACAGGCGAAGCATGAGGAAACTCATTGCGGGACTCATTTTCCTTAAAATTTGGACTTGTACAGTAAGGACTTCAACTGACCTTCCTCAGATTGAGAACTGTTTCCAGTATATACATCAAGTCACTGAGGTAGGACAAAAATTGCTACAGTCCTATTATTTTATGGTTATTATAAGTGTACCAGGACTCTAAAAGAAACTTGTTTGTATAATGCTATCCAAGGTATGTAGCCCAGGGAATAACCAACCTGATGTGTGTTATGACCCATTTTAAGCCTCCCGTGATCACAGTTTTTAAAATAAAATTAAGGACTGGTCCTTTTCTAGGTGACACAAGTAAGGTAATAGCTAGAACGGAAAAAAGAGGGGCCCCCAAAAATGTAACCTTAAAATTTGGTGCTTGTGCCGCTATTGATAGTAAGCAGCATGGAATAGGATGCGGTTCTCTAAATTGGAAAAAAAAAGTGACACAGTAAAAAAAAAATAAGTGTATCTGTCAAGAATTGTATTTATGTGAGATGTGTCAATACTGGTCTTGTGTCATTTGGGCTACTTAAAAAGAAGATAAAAAAGATCCTGTTTGGCGGCTTAGTTGTCTTGGGCAAAAACTGTATAATGGTACCACAAAAAGTTACATGGTGGAGTTCCAATTACACAGAAAGAAATCCATTCAGTAAATTTCCAAAGTTGCAGACTGTTTGGGCCCACCCAGAACTCCACCGGGACTGGACAGCCCCCACCGGGTTATACGCAGAGCTTATGCTAAGCTCCCTGATCAGTGGACAGGTAGCTGTGTAATTGGCACCATTAAGCCATCTTTCTTCTTACTGCCCATAAAAACAGGTAAACTTCTGGGCTTCCCAGTCTATGCTTCCTGCGAAAAACGAAGCATAGCCATAGGTAATTGGAAAGATGATAAATGACCTCCTAAAAAAATTATATAATACTATAGGCCTGCCACTTAGACACAAGATGGCTCATGAGGATATCGAACCCCCATCTACATGCTCAACCGAATCATATGGTTGCAAGCTGTTTAGAAATTATTACTAATAAAACCCGTCAAACCTTGACTGTTCTTGCCCGGCAAGAGACTCTGATGAGAAATGCTATCTATCAAAATAGACTAGCTCTTGACTACTTGCTATATATATATATATATATATATATATATATGTATACACACACCCCATCTCTACTAAAAATACAAAAAATTAGTGGGGTATGGTGGCAGGCACCTGTAATCCCAGCTACTAGGGAGGCTGAGTCAGGAGAATTGCTTGAACCTGGGAGGCGGAGGTTGTAGTGAGCCGAGATCGCGCCATTGCACTCCAGCCTGTGCAACAAGAGTGAAACTCCATATCAAAAAATATAAATAAATAAATAAATAATAAATTAAATAAATAAAATGGGCAGGAAGAGGTCTGAACATAAAAACACTCGACTGCACAGCGACCAAGGAGAGACAACTTAAACCTCAAATTCTCTCTCTTTTTTTGAGACGGAGTCTCACTCTGTCGCCCAGGCTGGAGTGCAGTGGCGCTAGCTATATCGGCTCACTGCAACCTCCGCCTCCCGGATTCAAGCGATTCTCCTTCCTCAGTCTCCCGAGAAGCTGGGTTTACAAGTGCGCGCCAGGGTTTCGCTATGTTGGCCAGGCTGGTCTCCAACTCCTGACCTCAGGTGATCCGCCCGCTTCGGCCCCCCACAAAGTGCTGGGATTATGCTGGGATTACAGGCGTGAGCCACCGCGCCGGGTCTCAAACCCCAAATTATTTTTTTGGGGGGACGGAGTCTTGCTCTGTCGCCCAGGCTGGAGTGCAGTGGCGCGATCTCTGCTCACTGCAAGCTCTGCCTCCAGCGTTCACGCCATTCTCCTGCCTCAGCCTCCCGAGTAGCTGGGACTACAGGTGCCCGCCACCACACCCGGCTAATTTTTTTGTATTTTTTTAGTAGAGACGGGGTTTCATAGTGTTAGCCAGGATGGTCTCGATCTCCTGACCTTGTGATCCGCCCGCCTCGGCCCCCCAAAGTGCTGGGATTACAGGCGTGAGCCACCGCACCCGGCCTCAAACCCCAAATTCCTAAGTATGGATGAGCCAAATCACCCCTCCCACTGCTGAGGAGAGACGCTTGTCTCGGACTGGACTTAACCCAATGGGGTTCAAGAAAAAGGGAAAGTCCCGCCTCCGTAGCAGCTCCAGTCCAATGGGAGCCTCCCGGTACGCTCAGCTGGAAGATGGGCGGGACTACGCTGGCCTGGAGCATGGCACGTGATTCCGCCGGCCTGGTTGCCGGGAATCTGGACCTGAGCGAGAAGCACGATCCCCGGCCGCCCCCGCTCTTGCATCCCCCTGGTCCTACTGCTGTGCTTGCTGGCGACGGTTCGTTCCGGAAGTCAGGCCAGTGACTGCGGGGCTCTGCTCCGCCCTCCATACCTGTTAAGTGTCCCCCTCCCCCACAACGCCTGATCCCCACAGCCTGGCAGCGAGAGTCCAGCCCTCCGGGGAGGTTGAGGCCCGGTGCCACCACCACCACTGGAGGCCTGACGATGCCTGACGATGCCTCACGCGGGTGCTGAGTAGTAGGGGGGCTTAATTATTTAGCACCTCTCCCCTTCCCCTGAGCCATAACCTTCCCCAAACTGTGGCCTTTATGAGGCCTCTTGGGAGTGCTTTTTGGAGCCGGGGGAGGTCTGGGGCGATGGAGGTTGCAAGATAAGGTCAGGCTTAGAGGGTAGGTAGGGCTTCCTCTGAAACTGGTTGTATCTGGTAAGTAATTGTCCCATGTCTCCCACTTGAAGCTTAAACTTGGCCGTAGGAGGTCCTTATGCCTGTAATCCCAGGACTTTGGGAGGCCGAGCTGGGCGGAGGATTGCTTGGACACAGGAGTTTGAGACCAGCCCAGGGAACATGAGGAAAACCTGTCAATACAGAAAATACAAAAACATTAGCCAGGCGTGGTGGTGCACGCCTGTAGTCCCAGTTACTCTGGAGGCTGAGGTGGGAGGATCGCTTGAGCCTGGGAGGCAGAGGTTGGGGTGGGCCTCATGATTGTGCCACTGCACTTCAATGTGGGTGACAGAGTGAGACCGTCTCGAAAAAAAAGAGAAAAGGAGCCAATGATAGCAGCTATGTTTGTTAAAAAAAAAAATATATATATATGTATATACACATATATATACGTATGTGTGTGTGTGTATATATATATTTGGAGACGGAGAATCACTCAGTCGCCCAGGCTGGAGTGCAGTGGTGCAATCTCGGCTCACTACAACCTCCGCCTCCTGGGTTCTAGGGATTCTCCTGTCTCAGCCTCCTGAGTAGCTGGGATTACAGGCGTGCACCACCAGGCCCAGCTAATTTTTGTATTTTTTTAGTAGAGATGGGGTTTCGCCTCATCGTGGTTTTTAACCCAGCCTTAAAAATATATTTAAACATAACTACCAGGTGTGTTTTTTGGCATGACCTCTAATCCTCTGAGATTGGTGTAATTTTCTCATATATGAAGAATGTGGCTCATATTCTTGTCCACAAGAGATGGCCCCAAGAGGGATGCACAGCCATAGACAAGTGGTAGGGTGAGTGTCACCTCTGAGTGAGAGTCAGAGCCGTCTCTGAAATAAAGGGGTACAGCAGCGTGGTAGATGGTTTGAGGCCAGGGTAAGGGTTTAATGAAAGGGTTTAAGTGGTTTAAGTGGTGTTTGGAGAAGGGAAGGATGGGTCTTCCCTTCAGGGGACCATCTCAGGAAGGCACTGGGAGGTGGAACTGCAGGAGTATGGAGGTGCTCCAACCTTCCTGTTCCAAGTGGGTCAGGTGAAGGCAGGGTGTGGTGGGAGATGAGGGTGGAGACGGCAGCCTTCAAGGGGCCTTGTTTAGCTTGCTAAGGAGCTTGGAAACCATCCCGAGGACAAAAGGGGAATCCTTAGAGGAAGAGCAGAGAGGTATGCGGTCTGATATGTATTTCTGGATAGATCACTCTGATTATATCAAGGAGGACAGATTTTATATGCTTAAGACTGGAGGGAGAGAGACCAGTTAGAAAGACTCTGGCTATAATCCAAGCAAGCCATACTATGGGCTGGTTTGGTGGAGGTAGAGGAATGTCCAGATTGGAGAAACAGGAAGTTAAAAATGGGCAGGGCTTGCTGACTGTTTGAAACTAGGGGGTGTGAAGGGAGGCAGCACTCTAGGATAAACACCAGACTTGCCGATTGTTTGGGAATATCCAATTCTGCTGTAGAAGACAGGAAAACAATAAACTCAAAAGAAGTGTTACACATAGATAACTAAATTAGTCATCTGTAGATAGTACAACATATTCGTGTGTACAGAGATCAAAAGGGACAGAAAGACCAAGGAGGCACTAAATATTCACGGTACCCTAAATACGTGAGACATGAGGCACTCAGGATGCAGGAGGTTTCAATTTGACAGGATGGATGCACACTGCATGACCCACAGTTCAGCTGGTGTGATCATTCCACCCAACTTGCCCCCTCTCCCGTGTGTTGACCCACCCCAGCACCTGCCTCCTGCTTCTCAGAATGTGTTTTACATTTATTTAATAAACGATGTTATTTGAGCATTTACATTTGGTCTGTGAGCCTTTTTGTTCCATGACCTCTCAGCTCACTTCATGCTATTGTGCCAGGAGGCTACATGACATCCGGTAGTTGCCCACACCTCAACCCAGTTCTGGCTTGAGTAAGCAGGCAGGTGAGAGGATGATGCCACTCACCAGGAATATAGGATGAGAGGCAGGTTGTTCCATGGCCAGGGCCAAGAGGAAATACTCAGTTTTGGATGTGTCAGATTTAAGGCCATATGGAACCTTAGGTCCAGATGACCAACAGGTAGGTAGTTGGATATACCGATGTGAAGAACAGGGATGAAGAGATTTGGGAGTCATTACTATTTAAAACAATGAGCCTAGATGAGGCCCTGCAGGGAAACAAGAGATTCCCTTCCCATTGTTCAGTCTGCATTCCCCTTACCCACTCCTTTGGTGCCCTCAAAAATAGTCACACAGCCTCACCACACAGGCACCTTGTGCAGTGTCTCCCAGGTAAGACTCCTGTTGGAAAATAACCCTTTCCCATCATTCTCTTTTCCTCAGCAACCCACTCTCTGTGCTATGACTTCATTACTCTTTCCCAGCCCAGCCCTGGGCAAGCCCCTTACGAAGTCTCAGGCTACCTGGATGACCACCCTTTCTTATGATGCTGCAAGGAGGGCAGGTGGGCAGAGCCCCGTGCATCCTGGGCTCAGGCCAGGGACCCAAGAGCTTGGGAGAAGCTGGTTCTCAGACTGAAGGCCAGAGCCCAGCACCTTGTCACCATCCTGGGGAGCATCATGGCACACAACAACCAGAGCCAAGGTGATTGGGCTTGGGGGCTCAGGAGGAGGCAGAAAAGAGAGAAGAGCTCAATATGGGCCTGAAGATGTGCAGCTGCATTCGTTATTGTTCAGCTAAGATGCATTGAGCTCTGCGTGGGGCACTGTGCTAGGCACTCAGATACCATCCCACTTCACTGAGATCCTGATGCTATCTCCTCCTGCCTGGGGGAGTTCATCCCTGACTCAAACCTTGTTTTATGTACCCAGTGGTGCCAAAAGGACTGGGTCTTAGGTATTAGCAAGAGTAGGACAGAAGTATAAGACCCTCTGGCTGGGCGCGGTGGCTCATGCCTGTAATCCCAGCAGTTTGGGAGGCCGAGGCAGGTGGATCACAAGGTCAGGAGATCGAGACCATCCTAGCTAACACAGTGAAACCCTGTCTCTACTAAAAATACAAAAAAAATTAGCCGGGTGCGCTGGCAGGCACCTGTAGTCCCAGCTACTCGGGAGGCTGAGGCAGGAGAATGGCATGAACCCGGGAGGTGGAGCTTGCAGTGAGCCGAGATCGTGCCACTGCACTCCAGCCTGGGTGACAGAGCAAGACTCTGTCTCAATAAAAAAAAAAAAAAAAAGAAGTATAAGACCCTCACCCTTTCCCTCAGTCAAGGACTAGGTCTCTAAGAAAGAAGCCATTGTCCTTAAGCTCCCAAGCCTTCCCTTCAGGTGAAAAAAGTCTGTTATTTTTTTGCTCTTGTTGCCCAGGCTGGAGTGCAATGGCCCGATCTCAGCCCACTGCAAACTCCGCCTCCCAGGTTCAAGCGATTCCCCTGCCTCAGCCTCCTGAGTAGCTGGGATTACAGGCGCCTGCCACCACACCTGGCTAATTTTTATATTTTTAGTAGAGATGGGGTTTCACCATGTTGGCCAGGCTGGTCTCAAACTCCTGACCTCGTGATCCACCTGCCTGGGCCTCCCAAAGTGCTAGGATTACAGGCGTGAGCCACCGCACCCGGCCAGGTGAAAAAAATTTATCCAACTTTCTCAAATCCAGGAAATGGGAAAAACTGGCCTTTTTCTGACATTCACCTCTCTCGCCACCACCAGTAGTTAATAAGAAACCTGGTGACCTGAGCAAAATATATTTCTAACCAATATCATTTTTTTTCATCTAGCAAACATTTAAGCCTAGTAAGTGCTGTTCATTTTGCTGTTACCAATAATACACCTTACAATAGCAGCTACTAGTTCTTGAATTCTTCTTGGTAGGTCCTACATTAACACTGGCAAGGATTATCTCATGTTATCTTTACTTGTGTGGTAGAGACTATAATTGTGTCCAGTTGCCAAATGAGGAAAGCAAGGCTTGGAGAGGTTCCATTACATTTGCCGTGGGCATATAGCCAGTAGCTGATGTGTAGATCAGGGATTTAAACACAATGCTGTCTGTGCTGGGCCTTCAGGAGGGTGGGTGAGTATATGTGGCTGAACAGTGCATGCTGGGTACATGGGAGGGAGCCACATGCTGCAGGGGAGGGAGAGCGGGTGCAGTGTGACTTTGGTGGGGATGTGGTTGACAGAGAAGATATGTCTTGGAGAATGAGTGAGGGTTTATCAGTCAGAGGAAGGGAATTTCATGCATTTTGGGAGGAGGTAGGAGCGGAGGTGGAGAGAGCCACTGTTTTGACCTCTTGTAACTTTGGAGTTCTGGGGTTTTGGCTTTTCAGAGTCACACACCCTCCAGACCACGGTTGTCTGTGAGTTGCTGGGGAACCGGAGCAGCTGGGGACACTGGCACTACAACTGTCATGGCCAGGACTCCCTTCTTAGCACACTTGAGTCTTTCAACTCCAGCAAAAGCCAGCCAGAACCAAGCAGAGCTGCAGAAGGAGAGAAGGGAAGGAAACAATCCTTCCTGACCTAGAGCTGCGTCTACCCTCTCCGGAAACACCTGAAAGCTGGGGTGGGACCACGGCCCACCGTAGGTGTGATAGGTGCGGACTGGTTCATGTGGGGAAGGTGGAGGAGCTGAGGGCACTGTGGGAGGGATGGAGTGCAGGCCCCTCAGCCAGCCTTCAAAACTCCATTTCAATACCCATGTCCTAAATGAACACAGCTCTGTTGCTGACCGTCCTAGCCACTCTGCTTTCCTTCCCTCTCCCGTGCTTGGTCAGCCCTTTTCCCACTTGGTGTTCAAGTTCTGACCCAGGGCTGAGCACCCAAGGGCTCTCAAGGTGGGGCATCACCTACAGTCACCATGGAACACAGTGGAATGGTGCCTAAAGCCCTGGTGTGGAGGATGTACGGCAGCTTGATAGGACCAGAGGCAGCCAGTTTGTCTGGGAGGTCTTTGCCACCACTTTTCCCTGTCCCGCTAGCCCCCTTGGTGCATGGGACTCTCTGCAAAGCCCCTGGAGAGGAGCCATCCCAACATGCTAGGCCCTTGACTTCTATCCTCCAGTGTCCAGCTAACTTAGCTGAGGGATGGGCTGCCCCAGCCCCTGAGTCCCTGGAACCCTAAGCCACTTGCCCCCTTGCATGGCGCTGCTCAGATGCCCAGAGCCAGCAGTCTGCTGTGATCCCTTTGACGTGAGCATAGGCTCTCCTGTCTGGTGATGCACCAGGCTGATGCTGAGTCTCTGTGCAACCTCAGATGAGCAGCTGGGGTTTGGAGGCATGTAGCAATGCAGTTGCCGAGTGCGGTGGCTCGATCTCAGCTCACTGCACCCTCTGCTGCCTGAGTTCAAGCGATTTTTGTTTCTCAGCCTCCTGAGTAGCTGGGATTACAGGCATGCACCACCACATGCAAAAAAAACAAAACAAACAAACAAAAAAACCACCTTTTGGTATTTTTAGTAGAGACAGGGTTTCACCATGTTGGCCAGGCTGGTCTCGAACTGCTGATCTGAAGTGATCCGCCCGCCTCAGCCTCCTAAAGTGCTGGGATTATAGGCATGAGCCACCGCTCCCGGCCTCCTCCTATATCTCTTGATCAAACTTCAGGGGAAAACCTGCCAGATTCCCCAGGAAGGATGCTTGGAGGTAGGTGGCAGGGTACAGGGAGGCCTATGCCAACTTCTCATTGAACACCACTCCCAGCTTTCCTACCCCCATTTCTCTTCACAGGTGTGCAGAGAAGTCTACATTCCCATGTCAAGTAAGGGGGGTGGGTAGATGGGAGGGCATATGAGAGCCGGGCAGCAATTTTATGTCTTAGTTGGAAGGAAGTTTAGAGTTCATTGAGTCCAAATCCTCTTTACTAGGTGAGGAAACTGAGGCACAGGAGGGGGAGGTGCCATTAGCCAGGGAGTCAGAGCCAGGACTTAGAACCTGGTCCATGCCTCCTAGTTTGTTCCTGACCAATCCTCCCAGCTCACCCACTCCTTTTGCTCTCACCTCTGACTCCCTACAGGCTACAGCTAGAGAGTTGACTCCTCTATTTGAGGTAAGAGTGTCTGGATTTGGGATAAGGTGACCTCAGTTTGCAGGTCTCATGGGGGAGATCAGAGGGTCCTTTGTTGAGAAGAGGGGACTTGGTCCACAGTGAGCAAAGGAATTTGTCTAAATTGCTATTAAGGGAGATCATCTCCCAAGGTGGGCCAAGCCTGAACCCTCAGCCCTCCATTTCTTCCCTTTCTTTTGCCTTCAGATTGACAGGCCTCGGAAGTCAAAATAAGTGGTTTCCTAGACCGGGTCGAGAGCAAGTCTCTATTGGTCCCAACTGAGTTTTTTCAGCTGGTTTTTCAACCAAACAGCACCTCATCTCCCAGTGAGGGGAAGGGAAGGCTGGGCTGACAGCAGCAAGGCTGCTCATCTCACCTCTCCCCACCCAGCCATGCCAGCCGCCACACCTGGTGGGGAGAGGTGGGCCTCACCTGGGTCCCCTGGCAGTGCTCTGTGAAGGGTCTTGACATTGCACTGTAATAATAAAGGTGTATGTGAAGTATCTTTTTATGGTGACTTTCTAAAACCCAGGGAATCATGGGACCAGTTCTGATGACTCAGCCTGGCTTCCAGTCTCCTCCAGGCCCAACGGTGGCCCCCAGCACTGGTTGGGGCCTGGGAGAGCTGGCCTTGGCTGAAGTGAAGCCACCTACCCTTCAGGCATAACAGGACAGTGAGAAGGAAGGAAAGCCTGCCTCAACCTCCCATCAGCCCTGAGCACCCCAGAAGGGGGCCGGCTAGGAGTCTAGGCATGCAGGAGGCTGACCCCTGACTGGGCTCATATCCAGCCACAAGGCAGCCAGGGACCCAGGCACCCACCCCTTGTCTGCGTCCCTCTCGGGAATGGGCCTCTTGCCCAGGCCAGAAATACACCACCTACAGTACAAATTATAATCTAAAAACAAGAGGGTGGTGTTGAGTGGGGAAATTGGGGAAGGTGTTTTAGGAGCCACTAGGAAAATGGGCAGCAGGGACTCTCTGGACTGGCTTGGGAAGAGCGCTTTTGGGGAACCTGGAGGATGGCAAGCTGAGAAACACTGGTGTGGAGATTCCAGCCAAATCCCAGGCCTGCCCCTCCCCCTCCTCTGAGAGGCCGTCTTCTTGGCAGACAGCAGAGAGATGCATGACAAAGGTGCCGTGATGGTTCTGTCCTGGGGATTGAGATGGCTGGGGAGGGGCCTCCTCCTGTTCCGAAGCATGTTCCTCCCACCCCCACCAGGCCCCATAATCTACCTGCCTTTTGGGCAGTTAAAGGCCGAGAAGTGAACACAGCTCCAACCCCACTGCCTTGTAGACCTTCCGGCAGACCTGTGGCAGGTATTGAAATGCACGCATACAATTAGGCTCAAAAAGTCTACACAGACAGGAGATGGGCACACGAACAGAGGCAACATAAGAGTGGGGGAAAAGTCTCAAAAGACTCACGGATGCCACCAAGATGAAGACAGCTGGCCACGGGACACCCATCCCCTTAGAAGGCAGACAGAGCCACTGACCCCAGCAGACAAGCCCAGGCAGGGCTGAGCCTGGAGCCTGCAATGAGAAGCCTTACTTAAGTCGACAGAGGTCAGCGTGCCCAGTCCAGACCTGGCCTTCTGGCCTTCGAAGCTGTGGGGAGCCCTGGCCCAGAGCCCCCTCTGGAGCCCCCAGACTTACCCCAGGCCCTCCACTGAGATCAAGTTTTGGGAGCAGACAGACAAACATCATCCCTCACAGACAGGCATTCCGTTGGCTATTCTCTTGCAAACAGAATCAAGCACTAGACCAGCAGCATGAGCCTCAGGATACTCAGGCCAGGCCCAGAAAAACAGACCCTGAAGGGGAGCTTAGGGCAGCCTTCCTGCACCCCTCCACAAATCACTCGCCACCTCCTCTGCGTCTTTCTGCCAGCCAGCCCCACTAAACAAAGCACATCCCTCAATCTTCCGGGCTCGGGGAGGGATGCACGATGAAGCTGGACGCCTGAGTTCCCCAGAGGAAGGAGGAACTAGATACCTAGGTCCCTGTAGGGGGCCCTTGGTGCCCGTCTGAGGCTCAGTCTTTGAGGGGATTGCAGAGGGGGGTTGCTGGAGCTCCTTTTAGCGTCTCTGAAGGGGATTCTGTGTGAGGGGATTGGGACTGGGGGGTTGGGGAGCAGGAAGCAGTCCCCAGGGGAGCCATCCAGGCCCATTCAAGGGTTGAGCACTTGTTTAGGGTTAGAGCTGCCCCCTCTGGGGACCGGGATTGTCCAGCCAAGGCCATTGTCCTGCCCCCTTCCCCCAGTCCCTCCCAGGCTTCTTTGAACCTGAAGTCAGATATTTTTTCTCCACACCCCCCACCCCCTGGTTTTCCCCACCCAGGGCCTAGGGCTGGAGGCCTGGGCCAGGGAGGTGGGGGAGGGAGAACGGGGCCTACCGTGGTATTAGATGTCTGAGTTTTGGTTGAGAGGGGAGCAAGGAACCTGATGTGCAGGTTCCATAGTGGAGGGGGCCCAAAGCGGGTGTCTTATCACTCTGTTTCAGCAAAGGTTGGGAAACTGAGGCCCAATCAGTCCAAAGTCTGGTCCCTTGAAGGGGAAGTAGGGGCCAACCCCTTAGTCTGTTAGATGAGGAGAGTCTGGAGTCTGATTCTGGAAGACGGAGGGGTGGGGGGATGGGGGGTGGGGGGATATAGCACGGAGGCCTTGTCTGGCAGTCTACTCTTGAAGATGGGGTGAAATTTGGCAGGCTGGGCAGATGGTGCCAGGCACCCAGGCTGCGGGGTGGCTGGATTTGGCCAGTATCGGGATGGGAATGCCTAGGATTCTGGATGGATCGGGGGAAGGCATAAGGGAGCAGCTGGCCATTGTGCTTATGGCTGTTGATGCATTGAGGGATAGCGCCACACACACATTCAATAAATTTGAGGAGCTGAGAGGGTGACTGGCCCCTGAAGGCACAGTGCCAGAGGTCTGTGGAGAGGGGGTCAAGCACCTGGGTTCCTGAAGAACATGGAGGTGTGGGAGTGATTCCAGACAGCTGGGATGTGCAGAGCCTGAGAGAGTGCCAGGGAGCGGGTTGGGAGTTGAAAGTTGGGTGTGGTGGCTCACGCCTTTAATCATGACACTGGGCGGCAGAGGCGGGAGGGTTTCTTGAGGACAGGAATTCAAGACCAGCCTGGGTAACATAGCAAGGCCCCATCTCTACTAAAAATAAAAAAACTAACAGGGCACAGTGGTCCAAGCCTGTAGTCCCAGCCACTTAGGAGGCTGGAGCAGAAGGATTGCTTTGGCCCAGTAGATCGAGGCTACATTGAGCCATCATTGTACTCCACTGCACTCCAGTCTGGGCAACAAAGTGAGACCCTGTCTTAAAAAATAAAAATAAAAAAAGTTTCTGTGGGGGACCTGCACTGAGGTCCTGGAGGGGCGCCAGTTGTGTCTCCCGGTTTTCCCCTTCCACAGACACCATTGCCACCACCATTAGGCAAACATCCTTCGCCTCAGTTTCTCCCCCCACCTCCCTCTCCTCCACCCATCCAGGGGGCGGGGCCAGAGGTCAAGGCTAGTGGGTGGGACTGGGGAGGGAGAGAGGGGTTGAGTAGTCCCTTCGCAAGCCCTCATTTCACCAGGCCCCCGGCTTGGGGCGCCTTCCTTCCCCATGGCGGGACACCTGGCTTCAGATTTCGCCTTCTCGCCCCCTCCAGGTGGTGGAGGTGATGGGCCAGGGGGGCCGGAGCCGGGCTGGGTTGATCCTCGGACCTGGCTAAGCTTCCAAGGCCCTCCTGGAGGGCCAGGAATCGGGCCGGGGGTTGGGCCAGGCTCTGAGGTGTGGGGGATTCCCCCATGCCCCCCGCCGTATGAGTTCTGTGGGGGGATGGCGTACTGTGGGCCCCAGGTTGGAGTGGGGCTAGTGCCCCAAGGCGGCTTGGAGACCTCTCAGCCTGAGGGTGAAGCAGGAGTCGGGGTGGAGAGCAACTCCGATGGGGCCTCCCCGGAGCCCTGCACCGTCACCCCTGGTGCCGTGAAGCTGGAGAAGGAGAAGCTGGAGCAAAACCCGGAGGAGGCAAGTGAGCTTCGACGGGGTTGGGGTGTGGGGAGGTGGTCATGACAGGGCAGCCTGATGGGGAAGTGGTCACCTGCAGCTGCCCAGACCTGGCACCCAGGAGAGGAGCAGGCAGGGTCAGCTGCCCTGGCCAGGGAGGGGTGTGTATCAACTGCAGGCAGCCCTGGCAGGCAGGGGCCAGGTGGGAACTGGAAGCTGGATTTCGAAGAGACAACTGCAGGTGAGGGCAGAGCGGCCTGGGAGAGTCGGAAGCTGGCCCAGGCTGGCCTTTGCTCTGTCTGGCCCAGCCCTTGTCAGGGTCTCTCACATCTCCTAGGCCTGCCCAGGGTCTGGTCACTCATTACTGGCCCAGCACCAGACCCAGCTTGGGGTTGGTTTGAGCCCCTTTTCCCACCCTTAGTCCTGCTTGAAAATTTGACCCTTATCAGACCCAAGATTTTGGCCTTAGGGTTAAGCATAGCCTGAGGGTAAAAACAGTGCTCATTCCAGGATTATTGTTCCTGAAAGTCTAGGGTGTGACTCGTTTCTGATAGGATCTCCTGTTTGGGCTGTGTGTGTGCGCGTTGTGAGCTGGGTTTACCTCCAGTCAAGTATAGGGCTTGTCTTCCCCGGATCTCTGCCTCAGGCCAATGACTGGCCACTGTGTTAAGGTGCACACCCTGGCACCCCTTGTAGAAAGCTGGATTTTGATTGACTTCAGCCTCAGTTCCAAAGTTGTAAACAAGAAAAATGGTGAGAGATTTCTCCAGGCCATTTGCAAATATAGAGCTGCTGCGGGATTGAAGGCATCCAGCCCTGCTGAGGACTATTAAAGATGTATCTTCCAGTCCTCCAAGGCGACAAGTGTAAGCAATTAGAGATTAAATACTAAGCCTTGAGACCTCACAGAAAGGTGTGACTGGTTTCTGGAGTGACCGAGAAGCCCCAACCTCTTCGCAGGAGGTCACTGCTGAGCCTTGAATGATAATGGCTGGCAATTGTGGTCCACTTCCTAAGTGCCTGGCTGTGTGCTCCGTTTATACATCATTATCTCATTAACCAGCACAAAATCTCCTAGGGGGAGGTATTATTATCCTATTTAACGGGTTTTAACTGCTAAATGATGAAGCGAGGATTTGGACCAGTGTTTATTCCAAAACCCCAAAACAGAATTTGGAAAATCCAGGATAGCAGAGGGCATTTATCAGTTTGAGTTATTGGCTGAGCAGAAGTTGGGGATGAAAACAGCCTATTTGAAATTGATATGATCAAGCACCATTGAAACACTTCCTTGAGGCTTCAGGACTACAAAAAGGCCTTGTTTTTTTCTCACTAGCTGTGCACCTCTGTCCGCCGGCAGCCTCATATGGCATGCCCCAGGGCTCAGTCCTTCAACCTCTGCTCTATCTACCCTTCCTTCCTCTCACCCACCCTCAAGGCTTAAATGCCATTTAGACACCAGATGACTACCGCGTTTTCTGTCTCTTGTGATGGCTCCCTGAACTGCTCCACCCTGATCACCCAGTTGCTCAAGGCCAAACCCAGTCATCCTCAGTTTCTTTCACGTCCTACATCCTATCCTTAAGAAACATCCTGAATCAATCACAACCTAACCCTGGCCTCAGCCACCATCATCTCTGCTGGGATTACCGCAGTAGCTTCTCAAATTATACTGCTTCCTCCCTACTGTCTGTGGCCAACACGTCAACTAGAGTCAGTGTTTTAAAAGGTGTGGCCAGGCACTTTGGGAGGCCGAGGCAGGCGAATCACCTGAGGTTGGGAGTTCGAGTCCAGCCTGACCAACATGGCGAAACCCCATCTCTACTAAAAATACAAAATTAGCTGGGCGTGGTGACGCATGCCTGTAATCTCAGCTACTCAGGAAGCTGAGGCAGGAGAATCGCTTGAACCTGGGAGATGTAGGTTGCGGTGAGCCGAGATCGCGCCAGTGCACTCCAGCCTAGGCAACAAAAGCGAAACTCTCAAAAAAAAAAAAAAAAGGTGAGGCTAGGTGCGGTGGTTCACACCTGTAATCCCAGCACTTTGGGAAGCCAAGGTGGACAGATCACTTGAGGTCTCCTGACCAGCCTGGCCAACATGGTGAAACCCCATATCTACTAAAAATACAAAAATTAGCCGGGCATGGTGGTGGGTGCCTGTAGTCCCAGCTACTCAGGCGGCTGAGGCAGAATAGCTTGAACCCAGAAGGCGGAGATTGCAGTGAGCCAAGATCACGCCACAGCACTCCAGCCTGGGCGATAGAACGAGATTCCGTCTTGGGGGGGGAGAAAAAGGGTGAGAGATCATTTCACTTGGACTAAAACAAAGTCACTATGTCTGCAACAGGATCTACCTAGCCACCAGACCAGCTTTGGGCTCTGGAAGGCCCACTTCAGGGCCTTGCCACATTAGACTCTTGTCCTTTGCTCAAACAATCACCTTCTCTGTCTTTAAAAGTGTCACCCTCCTCCATAATCTCCTTCCCTCCTTTACCCTACTCCTATAGACTGCTTTATTTTTTTTTTAATTTTTGAGATGGAGTCTCACTCTGTCCCTCAGGCTGGAGTGCAGTGGTGCGATCTTGGCTCACTGCAAACTCCACCTCCTAGGTTCAAGCAATTCTCCTGCCCCAGCCTCCTGAGTAGCTGGGATTATAGGGGAGCGCCATGATGCCCAGCTAATTTTTGTATTTTTAGTAGAGACAGAGTCTCACTATGTTGACCAGGCTAGTCTTGAACTCCTGACCTCAAGTGATCTACCCACCTTGGCCTCCCAAAGTGAAGGGATTACAGGCATGACCACTGCGCCCGGACTGCTTTGCTTTTTTCCATAATATATATATATTTTTTAAATAGAGGCAGCAGGGGTGGGAGAAGGGGCGGCACGGGTCTCACTATGTTACCCAGGCTGCTTTCTAACTCTTGGGCTCAAGCAGTCTGCCCACCTTGGCCTCCCAAAGTGCTAGGATTTACAGACATGAGCCACTGTGCCTGGCCATTTTTTATTTTATTTACTTTTTTATTTTTCAGAGCAGGAGTGGAAGTTTATTATTAAAAAGTTATAGGGCAGGGAAAAAAGGAAAGTGCACTTGGAAGAGATCCAAGTGGGCAACTTGAAGAACAAGTGCCAAATAGCACTTCTGTCATGCTGGATGTCAGGGCTCTTTGTCCACTTTGTATAGCCGCTGGCTTATAGAAGGTGCTCGATAAATCTCTTGAATTTAAAAATCAATTAGGATGCCTCTATAGTGAAAAAGATACAGTAAAGATGAGGGATAATCAATTTAAAAAATGAGGAGTAAGTACACACAAAGCACTTTATCCATTCTTATGACACCTGTTACTTTTTTGCTGTGTTTGTGTGTATGCATGCCATGTTATAGTTTGTGGGACCCTCAAAGCAAGCTGGGGAGAGTATATACTGAATTTAGCTTCTGAGACATGATGCTCTTCCTTTTTAATTAACCCAGAACTTAGCAGCTTATCTATTTCTCTAATCTCAAAACATCCTTAAACTGGGGGTGATACTTGAGTGAGAGAATTTTGCAGGTATTAAATGAACTATCTTCTTTTTTTTTTTCTTTGAGACAGAGTCTTGCTCTGTCACCCAGGCTGGAGTGCAGTGGCGTGATCTCAGCTCACTGCAACCTCCGCCTCCCGGGTTCAAGTGATTCTCCTGCCTCAGCCTCCTGAGTAGCTGGGATTACAGGTGCGTGCCACCGTGCCCAGCTAATTTTTGTGTTTTTAGTAGAGACGGGGTTTCACCATGTTGGCCATGCTGGTCTTGAACTCCTGACCTCGTGATCTGCCCACCTCGGCCTCCCAAAGTGCTGGAATTATAGGCATGAGCCACCGCGCCCAGCAAAGAACTTCTAACCTTCATAACCTGACAGGTGTGCTCCTCGAGGCCAGGGTCTCTCTTTCTGTCCTTTCACGATGCTCTGCATCCCTTGGATGTGCCAGTTTCTGGGGGAAGAGTAGTCCTTTGTTACATGCATGAGTCAGTGAACAGGGAATGGGTGAATGACATTTGTGGGTAGGTTATTTCTAGAAGTTAGGTGGGCAGCTTGGAAGGCAGATGCACTTCTACAGACTATTCCTTGGGGCCACACGTAGGTTCTTGAATCCCGAATGGAAAGGGGAGATTGATAACTGGTGTGTTTATGTTCTTACAAGTCTTCTGCCTTTTAAAATCCAGTCCCAGGACATCAAAGCTCTGCAGAAAGAACTCGAGCAATTTGCCAAGCTCCTGAAGCAGAAGAGGATCACCCTGGGATATACACAGGCCGATGTGGGGCTCACCCTGGGGGTTCTATTTGGTGGGTTCCCCTCTGCAGATTCTGACCGCATCTCCCCTCTAAGGAGTATCCCTGAACCTAGTGGGGAGGGGCAGGGGCAGACTCTACCCTCACCCATGAAGAGGAGTAGGGAGAGGGAGAAGATGCTTGGGCTTTGAGCTCCCTCTGGGAAGAGGTGGTAAGCTTGGATCTCAGGGTCACAAGGGCCCTGCGTGCTCCCTCATTTTGCTTCTCTTTTGACTGGCCTCCCCCAGGGAAGGTATTCAGCCAAACGACCATCTGCCGCTTTGAGGCTCTGCAGCTTAGCTTCAAGAACATGTGTAAGCTGCGGCCCTTGCTGCAGAAGTGGGTGGAGGAAGCTGACAACAATGAAAATCTTCAGGAGGTAAGGGTGGGAGGGGGATACCCGGGGACCTTCCCTTTCTTGGCCTAATTTCCATTGCTTCCATCACTGGCTCGTAGCTCTCCGTCTTTGGTGCAGTGGTTCTCAGTGGGATGGAGTGAAATTCCTCAGTTCTGCTGGGATAAGGTCCAGAGCCAACCCTTCCAGGATCCTGCCTTTTCACACCACCACCTGGCTCTGCTGACACATCTAGTCACAGACCCCTGTGATGCTGTTACTCAGCAAGTCCAAAGCTTGCCCTTGTCACCCCCTTCCCACCTGCACAGATATGCAAAGCAGAAACCCTCGTGCAGGCCCGAAAGAGAAAGCGAACCAGTATCGAGAACCGAGTGAGAGGCAACCTGGAGAATTTGTTCCTGCAGTGCCCGAAACCCACACTGCAGCAGATCAGCCACATCGCCCAGCAGCTTGGGCTCGAGAAGGATGTGAGTGCCATGTCTCTCTGCGGGCTCCATCTCTTTCCCCTGTCACCACCTCGCTTTCCCTAGCTCTGGCTCCTCCAACTGCTCTAGGGCTGTTGGCTTTGGACAGAATGTCCAAGCAGTCAGGCCTGTCTCAGCTCATTCTCTAATGTCCTCCTCTAACTGCTCTAGGGCTGTTGGCTTTGGATAGAATGTCCAAGCAGAGTCAGGCCCGTCTCTCAGCTCATTGTCTAATGTCATTCTCCTTTCTGTCATTCACTGGCAGGTGGTCCGAGTGTGGTTCTGTAACCGGCGCCAGAAGGGCAAGCGATCAAGCAGCGACTATGCACAACGAGAGGATTTTGAGGCTGCTGGGTCTCCTTTCTCAGGGGGACCAGTGTCCTTTCCTCTGGCCCCAGGGCCCCATTTTGGTACCCCAGGCTATGGGAGCCCTCACTTCACTGCACTGTACTCCTCGGTCCCTTTCCCTGAGGGGGAAGCCTTTCCCCCTGTCTCTGTCACCACTCTGGGCTCTCCCATGCATTCAAACTGAGGTGCCTGCCCTTCTAGGAATGGGGGACAGGGGGAGGGGAGGAGCTAGGGAAAGAAAACCTGGAGTTTGTGCCAGGGTTTTTGGGATTAAGTTCTTCATTCACTAAGGAAGGAATTGGGAACACAAAGGGTGGGGGCAGGGGAGTTTGGGGCAACTGGTTGGAGGGAAGGTGAAGTTCAATGATGCTCTTGATTTTAATCCCACATCATGTATCACTTTTTTCTTAAATAAAGAAGCTTGGGACACAGTAGATAGACACACTTATCTTGGTTTGTCCTTCAGTTACTGAGGTGGGGATGGGAATATCCAATGCTCATACCCAAGTGACCCTGAAACTAAGGTGCCATTTACACTCCTTAAGGTCACACAACATCAGAGGGAGAGCTGGGATTGCAGCCAAGTTTATTTGTACAGGGCCCTGTGATAGGCTAGTTCCCAAAAGCCTGTGATGCAAGAACTTTTGCCCATAGACTCAGTCACCATGTAGCTGTTACCTGTTCAGAGCTGGCTTTTTGCTTTCCCACCCTACTCTGGAATTCTTAAATGGCTTTATACTTAGAAATCATCTTATTTCTGTTGAACCTAGATCACCCCAACCAGAAACTTCTATTAATACTTTGTGCTTTCTTGATACCAGGGTCTATTTGGTTTCCACTTAAGGTTTTTGCATACTCTGCCCATAAGTGACTCATTAGTTACTCAAGTTTTATTCCTGGCTCTGCCACTAGTTCATTAGGGGTCTTTGCCCCAGAGTCATTTCTTCCATGTAAAAAAACTTGGGCTCATTAAATCTAGGTAGGAAAGGGCGGATGTGGCAGGTTTTAATAGAACAGGTCAAGATAAGGCTTTATTTCTATAGAAATGATGCTTTGACAATAGTTTGGCTTGGTGTAAGGCTCACAAAAGAAAATCACATGTACCATGTGTGGGTTAAGCGGTTTGATTCACACTGAACCAGGCCAGCCCAGTTGCCCTCTGCTGTGTCCACCCGTGGAGTGGAGCTGTGTCACAGCCATCACACTGGTAAACTGCTGTAGCTGGTTTACCAGGCTTTCTCTTGCCCTGACAGTACAGGTGAAGCCTGTAAATAAATCTTCTGCTATCTTTGTGAACTTAACCAAATCCCAGTTACCTTATTTAAATGGCAATAGATCTGTTTTCCCTTAAACTAGAAACCTTAATTACCTGTATTCCTACCTCCAGCTCAACCCATATATTTGCACCTTTCCAGTAAGCAGGTTTGTATTTCCATCTCTCCCCTTCCCCTAAGATTCTGAATTAGTTCTCCAGACCTTGCCAAGCACATTCTCCCTGGAAAGCAAGGAATATCACAGACCCACAAGAAGAGTAAATGCCCAGGAGTGAATGAAGCGGCTTGTCCTTGACTTGGAAATAAAAGCAAAGCTGTGAAAAGCCAGGTCGCTACGATTTTGTTGGCAGCAGGACTAGCCACAGAGTAGGGAAGTTTTGGGGCCAGGCCCTAGGTTTTCCCAGAATGCCTTGGGTGATGCCACCAAGAACCTTAAGAACTCCCTCTTACATTTTCCATCGGTTGCAGGCATGGCTTTTGCAACTGATAGGTGCTCTGACTACAGATATTCTGGTGTCCATGGCAACATGGCCTTATGGCTTGTAATAGTGGGAACTTCCAGCTCACTGGCAATTTCCTGGAGGTGGCAATATCTTTGGCAGGAAACCATCTCTTCTGTCTTGGCCACCAGGGTCTGCTCCAGGCCCTGAATGAGTCCACATCAATCCATCCTTCTTCCCTGTAGTCATTCCCTCTTGGGGAGGGAAGGGAAGGGGGGTATTTATCAGACCTATTTGCTCGCTGCTGTGTCTACTCATGGGCAGGTGTGTCCGATGGTGCCTTGGCGGTGGACCTTAGGTCTGAATGCCAGCCCGGCACCCTGGGCATCGGAAGTCGGCCTCCCTGGCAGCCTGGATGCTGCAGCCAACACAGGCCACATGGAACCAGACGTCACAGCCATCACACTGAACCCAGGCCACTGTCTCTTCCTGGGGCAGGCAGCAACAAGGAGCTGCACAGGGCTCCCCGCCCCCAACTGCAGGGGGAGCCATGGGAGCGCTCACTGGGTACTTCCGAGGACGGCCACGTCGATTTCTGAAGGAAGTGACACAGACACAAGGGTCACCGGAAACCTGTAGGAGAAGGCCTAGACCTTGCCACCCTATGGCTGGTCATAGGGTGAGGCCACAGAGGCACAGTGGTCTGAGAACTAAGGTGAGCCTGGACTCTGTCCTTAAAAACACATAGGGTGGGCCTAAAAACCTCTAGTGTGAGCCTGAAAGTTCCCCATCCTTAGGCACTAGAAGAATGGGGTTAAAGCCATATGAATGTAAAAAGCAGGACATGCTCACTCCGGTTGTTTTATAAGCACTGCCCCACCCCACCTCTCATGTTCTCCTGCACATATTTTTCTTTTCCTATCAGAGCTAACCCAGGTCTTGCCATTCCATCTATTCCACCTCCCGTGCCCATCCCCCCAGGCAGGGGGACCTCCTCACAGCCTAGGGATACAAGGAATCGAAAAGCAGTAAAACACTGAGAGGGCCAAGTGAGGACTCCACTTACCCAGTGGGAGTCAGTGGGGCTTTGTCTACACGGAGTTTCTTCCTGGGCTCCATAAGGACCGGTGGCGGGTTCTCAGGAGGCTCACTCTCATCATCCAGTTCCGCCAACACTCGGTGAACAGATTTCCTCCGATTGCGTTGGGGTGGAGCAGAAGGCGTGGTCCCCACTTCCCCAGGTGGGGCGGGAACAGGCAGGCTCTTTGGTCCACCCCAACTAGGGGAGAAGGTGAGGGGCTGGGGCCGGAGCTTGCTGAGGCTGCCTATGGAGTTTAGGATCAGTGTGGCCTTGGGGGCAGGGGAGAAGGTGCTGAGAGGCCGCTGTGGAGCCCCCTGGGAGGGCAGCATAGGCCGGAAACCAGCCCCAACCCGGGCTTCTCCCCTAGACCGTGGGATGGTAATGGCAGCAAAGTCCTGAGGCTTGACTCGTACTTGTTGGAACATGAAGTAGAACTCCGAGGGGCTGGTTCCTGGGGGCCCTTCAGGGCCAAAGGTCAGGAGGTCTCCATCACTCAATTCCAGCCTGTGACCTCTTGGGAGTCGGACATTATTGACCAAAGTACCTGTTGATGGTGGGGCACCAGGCAAATATGGAGGACAAAAACAGAAATGACCAGAGTCAGGAGTGGAGAAATCTGTATGATTTCTGGGGAAGAATATGAAACTGTAGTCAGATTCTCCCTCACATCCTAAGCCCCTCAGCAGGTGACAGGTACCAGGCAGTACACTCCTTGTCAGCTAGGAACAAGTCTGTGTTTCTTGTGCTTTCCTACAAAGGATCCCTGCCCTCACTGTCCTAAGGTCCAATTTTCTTTCTTTCTTCTTTTTTTTTCTTTCTTTTTTTTTTTTTTGAGATGGAGTTTTGCTCTATTGCCCAAGCTGGAGTGCAGTAGTGCAATCTCAGCTCACTGCACTCCGCCTCCCAGGTTCAAGCAATTCTCCTGCCTCAGCCTCCTGAGTAGCTGGGATTACAGGCATGTGCCACCACGTCTGGCTAATTTTTTTATTTTTAGCAGAGACAGGGTTTTACCATGTTGGCCAGGCTGGTCTCATACTCCTGACCTCCTGATCTGCCCGCCTCAGCCTCCCAAAGTGCTGGGATTACAGGCGTGAGCCACCGTGCCCCGCCCTAAGGTCCAGTTTTCAAACATGCTCACTCTCCCCCAGCTCCAGCTCGTTCAGATCCTAGCTCTACCACTTACCAGTTATGTGACCCTGGGCAAGCTTTTGGTTTGTTTGTTTGTTTGAGATGGAGTCTCGCTCTGTCGCCCAAGCTGGAGTGCAGTGGTGCGATCTCAGCTCACTGCAACCTCCGCCTCCCGGGTTCAAGTGATTCTGCTGCTTCAGCCTCCTGAGTAGCTGGGGTTACAGGTGCACGCCACCACACCTGGCTAATTTTTGTATTTTTTTTTCAGCACAGATGGGGTTTCAACATGTTGGTCAGGATGGTCTCGAACTCCTGACCTCGTGATCTGCCCATCTCGGCCTCCCAAAGTGCTGGGATTACAGGCGTGAGCCACCGCGCCCAGGCTTTTTTTAAAAAATTAATTAATTTTTTGGTAGAGACAGGTTTTCACCATGTTGCCCAGGCTGGTCTCGAACTCCTGAGCTCAAGTGATCCACCCTGCCTTAGCCTCCCAAAGTGCTGGATTATAGGTGTAAACCACCATGCCCAGCCCTGGACAAGTTCCTTAACCTCTTTGTGCCTCATTTTCCTTTACTGTAAATGAGGATAATATTAGTACCACCTACATTCAATACACTTAAAATAGGGCCTGGCTCATAACAGTAAGCACTAGATGAATGTTGGCTACTATAGTCTAATAACCATAACACTCCTACAGCTGACTTTACCAAGAGGCAGTGGCAAAACTCAAATGTGAATCTAGGCTTTCTGAGGCTAACTGCCTCAAGTCACGGAGAAAGACATGCCCAGATTATTAAAAACATTATTCAACATAGAACTGCCCTAACCCAGGAACAGAGTGCCTCAGCAAAGCTGGAAACTGAATCAAGTCTAAACTTGGCCTCTAGTGGCCTCAGAACATCCCCACTGTGATATCTTTCTGATGATATCCCAGGTCCTGTATGAGCTAAACGGGACCAAAAAGGGTCAGTCTGGCAGAGAGCTTCTGACTGTGCACACTTCTGGTGGGAAGATGAAGGTCTGGACCACGACTATCCATCCAATCTGATGGGAGTATGGGAGGCAGGCAGCAAGGTCTTGTGGAGACCTTACTCATTCCAGCCTGGCGCTTCAACCACCCAGGGGCAAAGCTGCCCTGCTTAATGCTCACCTTGGCTGCTGTGGTCTTCCAGGCTGACCCTCCAGTCATCACCCCGGGGCTCGGCATGCAGTTCGGCGTGGATCCCAGAGATGAGGCCAGGCTCCTGCTGGGGCCGCAGGGCCACATCACACAGGTCGGCCCTGTGGCCCAAGCGATAGGTGCAGCCAGCCCCGGCGGGGGGGTGGAAGGTGTAGAGATCACCGCCCCTGCCGCCCCCTATGCGCAGCAGTTGGAAGCAGGGCAGCATGGGCGGTGCCCCCTCTGCACCACCTCTTCCACTTCAGGCATCCATTTCCTTTCCCACTCCTGGGCCACGCACCGCTGGCTTAAGTTCGCTTCCCAGTCTGATGCAAACTTGAGTTGTGCTGTATGCGGTTTCAACTTTGAGCACACTACCTGAATAGCCCAAATTCAGAGTGCAAGCAGCCTAGGACTCAATGCAAAATTGGTTAAGCCGACTTGCAAATGAAAAATTCCAGGAAGGTCTCCGTGCAATGCAAACTCAGGAACACGTCCTATGGCACCTCACTTGAGCTGGATCCTCAGATCACAAAATATTTGGGGAGCCTCCAATCTGCAAGGCAAGGATACTTTAGGCAGCTCCTGTGTGTGTCGGGGTGGCGGGGCGCGGGGAAGGAGGTCCTGTTATACACACGTCTACGTGCAATACGAACACATCACCTCTGTGTAATTCGGAGAAGAGCAGCTTCTTCCTGTCAAACTTGCTTATCCTAATAGAGCACTCCTGCTTGCCTGCGCCCCGATCTTCTGGCCAATCCCTCACTCATAACTGGTTGAACCTCCGAGGGCAATGAATCCACTGTCATCCCCCAAAAGAAAGTGCAAACGAGTCCTTAAGTACTCCAACAAATTGGACCTAAACCCCTACTTCCCGGCTTCTCTAGGTGGGATAAAAACAGGAAGGAGCTCCCCGCGATCATGCAAGGCATACCCGGCCTTTTCCCACTCCGCCCCAGCCCCGTTTCGGATCTACCCGCGCGGCGCAGTCTCCGAGTAGCCTCCTCTTCAAGCAGTGCCAGCCTGTGCGGCGGATCCCGGGACCCCTTGGGCTCCTCGGCAGGAGCCGACGTTGCTGCATCTGTTTGACAGCCAAGAAGCCGGGGCCAGGAGGGGCGCGGCCTCTGCGCGCGGGCAGCGCCTACCCCTCCTTCGGAATTCCCGGGCCCGAACTTCGCGCCGAGCGAGCCCGCCCCCGTGCCGTTCCCGATTGGCCAGCTCATTTGTTCTCTTCCGCGCCATTGGACAGCGCCCCAAGATCTCCCGCCTTCCACTTTTTCTGATTAGTTCACAAGTTTTCCCGGGTTGCCGCAGTGAGGAGGAGCCGCCTGGGCGCGGAGATGCTCCGACGCATTTAGTGGGCCCAAATTTAGACGCCACTGCGCCTGCGTACACCTTTCCCCCTCCTCCCAACAGAGTGAAATAGGACTTTAGGGCGCCCGCCTTGCGCAGGCGCGGTCAGGGGCAGAGGCGGGGCCGGGAGCGAGGCGTAGGGGGAGTGGCCAAAGCGCAGTAGGGGGCTCTCGCGGTTGGTAAGGGACGTTCGGGAAGAGTCGGTTGGGGGCGGGAAGGGGCTGAGCGGGGGTCCTGGGAGGGTTCAAGGGGTCCAAAGGGGAAGGGGGTACAGGGGCCAGGTGAAGGGACAGATGAAGAGATCAGAACAGCCTTAGAGCTCACGGGCTAACTGGGTGAAGCCTCTGGTATCTAGGGGAGCAGTGGTGGGAGAGTAGAGCCGGCTAGCGTACAGGGGGCGAGGGCAGGCTATTGAGACATGGGGGTGAGGGTCAGGACCAGAATAATTCCTTCAGAAAAAGGTAGATTAGGTTGTAAAAAGGGACGGGAGTAGGGATCCCAGATTCGGGTAAAAAATAGATTAATGAGGGTGGGAGGGTGGGAGGAAGATCTTCAAGTGCCCACTATGTGTTAGGACTCGAGAAAGAGGAGGCGGGCAGCAGGCATGGAAGCTAAGGGGATAGTAGAGAGAAGCTGAGAGAACAGCCGCAGGAAAGATTTGAATAAGATGTCAGGACGCTGGCTTTTCTGCCTGGGGATCTAGGCGGCCTGGATTCCCAAGGTCTTGGGGAGGGTCTAGCCCTGCATGTGGCCACATTCAGCTGGGGCCAGGCCTTGGGCCAGCACTTTAACAGGGAAGGACCCAAGAGTCATGGCCTGCTGGTGTCTGGATGGGCTTCCCTCAGGCCTTGCTGAGCCATGGAGAGAACTCTGGAGATGGCGCTCAAGACCCCTGCACTGTGTACCTCCTTTCTCACCTCTGGCCAGGAGCAGCAGGGACCATAGAAACTTAAGGAGGAGGGTAAAGGCACTGCCCAGAATCCTGAAAGTATGAGTAAAGCCTCAGAGCCCCTCTCAGTCTGTCTCTTTCAGTAAATTCTCTCCACTTGATAGTTAGTTGCTTGGGTTCCATGAGGAACCAGGTTGAGACAAGCAAGTGAATTTGGGGTATCTCCTACTTTGGGGAAGTAGGAAAAGAGCTAAGCATCGGGTGGACCTGGCTATAATTCAAGGATTATGACTTTGTTATTGTAGGGGCTTTCTCTTTGGAAGGTGGCCTGAAAATTGAATTGGAGTGTCTTTGTTTCTCCTCTTGTCCAGGGGAACATAGATGGCTGAAGACAGAATCTAGAGCCTTCAAATAATGTGGAGATGTTTCCACCTTCAGGTCAGTGGGACCAGACAAGGGGAGTGGTGGTTGTCTCTGCCTGGGAAACTGACCATCTTTGTTTTTGTAATTCTTCAGGTTCCACTGGGCTGATTCCCCCCTCCCACTTTCAAGCTCGGCCCCTTTCAACTCTGCCAAGAATGGCTCCCACCTGGCTCTCAGACATTCCCCTGGTCCAACCCCCAGGCCATCAAGATGTCTCAGAGAGGCGGCTAGACACCCAGAGACCTCAAGTGACCATGTGGGAACGGGATGTTTCCAGTGACAGGCAGGAGCCAGGGCGGAGAGGCAGGTAGGGATCCATCCACGCCGTTTTCTCAGGCTTGCTTGCTAGTGACCCTTCCTCACTGGAATAAACTCCTTACCCTATTTCGGCCCTAGTTTCCAGAACGTACTCATTTTTATGTAAGCAATTAGTTCCTACAGTGCATAAATAATAAAGCAGTGTGCTAAGTGCTAGGGATGAGGATAACAATAGTGAATAAGACAAATCCTGACTTAAATTTGTAATTAATAAGGAATCTAAAATCCTAAGAGGGGAGATAGATTGACCACCAGCTGATGGTAAAGCATGGTATGAGGCAAGATGAAGAAGTGCAAACTAGAGGTAGAGACCCAGCACTGTGGCAGTGTGGGTTCATTCTGATGGAAGAAAGCCTTTACAGAGGACATGCTGTGGGAGCTGGCCATGCTGTCGTATTATCTGTAAACATTCTTATTCTTGTTTCATGTGTCTTTTCCCAGATGTACTGGGATATCATTCTGCCATTTTGCTCCAGAATAGGATTACATTAGAAGAAGCAGCATGATGAAGAAGGAATACTAGACTGGGTGTCAGGAGACAGAGACTCTATTTCTAGTTTGGCTACCAGCTAGAGGACATTTGGCAAGTCACTTAATTTCCCTAGCCTACAGATCGCTGCTACTAAAGAAAGAAAGAAAGAGCGAGCCAGATATGGCGGCTCACACCTATAATCCTAGCACTTTGGGAGCTGAGGCAGGAGGATCACTTGAGCCCAGGAGTTCATGACCAGCGTGGGCAACAAAGCGAGACTCCGTCTCCACAGAAAATAATTAGCTGGCTGTGGTGGCATGCATTTGTAGTCCTAGCTACTCAGGAGGCTAAGGTGGTAGGACCCCTTGAGCTCAGAAGTTGAAGACTGCAGTGACCTATGATCCAGCCACTGCATTGAGGCCTGGGTGACACAGTGATACCCTGTCTCTAAAAACGACAACAACAACAATCTCTTATAGTCCTGGGTCTCAGAGAGCTGCCTCAGGAGCCATGTTCCAAGCTGGATTAAACTTCACGTGACATTGGTAGACGATTTCTCTAAAGGCTGGCACTGTGTTATTTATGTACTGTTCTCTCAGACTCCTCATAAAGTATACCTAACACTCAATAAATGCCTTTTTTTTTTTTTTTTTTTTTGAGATGGAGTCTCACTCTGTCGCCCAGGCTGGAGTGCACTGGGGAGATCTTGGCTCACTGCAAGCTCCGCCTCCCAGGTTGACGCCATTCTCCTGCCTCAGCCTCCCAAGCAGCTGGGACTACAGGCACCTGCCACCACGCCCAGCTAGTTTTTTATATTTTTAGTAGAGATGGGGTTTCACCGTGTTAACCAGGATGATCTCGATCTCCTGACCTCGTGATCCGCCCGCCTCGGCCTCCCAAAGTGCTGGGATTACAGGCATGAGCCACCGCGCCCAGCCAATAAATGCCTTTTAACTAGCACCTGGCCTCACCATATTGATACTGGAAGCTTACGACCTCTCTATGCCCATTCCTCCCTCAAACTTCTTGCCCTTAAATTAGAATTGAGAAGTCCCTGTGTGTTCTTCCAACCTTTCCACTTAAAATGTGTGGCCTAAAAATAAAAAAATAAATAAGACAAAAAAACCACCAAAAAACAAAAAGAATGTGTGGCCTAATGATATACACATTTGATGTTGAATCCTCCTGTATGTAGCTCTCTCTAGGGAGATCATGTTCCACGATCTCAGCCAGACTTTAGGTCCTGTGAGTCCAGGCACTGGACTCAACATGCTCAATAGGGCTTTGATGAATGATGATGATGTCAATGCAGACATCCCCATACCCCAGCTTCAG